>NW_021160012.1:0-204956 GCF_000001405.40 Homo sapiens | reverse complement strand
AACCTCTCCCCAGCCCTCCCTCCCAACATTCTACTTTATTTCCATTATAAAATGCTCTTTTCTTTCACATGTACTTGCTTTAGTGTTTTTGTCCTGCCGTCCTCAGACTGTGGGCTCCCCGCGGGGAGGCAGGGATAACATAATCATTTTTGGTACCATAAGGTGAACCTACCAAGGTAGCTGCCACATGGTGAGTGCTAGGGGAAGAGTCGCTGAGTAAAATAACATGGAAAATCACAAAGCCCTTCTTCCCACTTTTGGCCACCCAATAATGTGGAGATCATGAATGATAACAGGAGCTGCAGGACCTCAGCCTGTCTCTCCCCCGGCTCCAGCTGCTCCAGTAAAGCCCAGCGGGCATAAGAAACACGGGGTCTGCCGCCACCTAGAGGCCTCCACTAGCCCTGAAGTCCCAGGTGGAAGCATCACAAAACAGGCACCTGCATTGGGGAATTCTCAAGGCAGTGGCTATTCAAGGACCCCTGGGAAAAGGAGCAGTATCTGAAGACTCCAAGGGCCATAAAAGTAACCTCGGAAACCTCCCTTGATTCCTATTTTCCTCAGCCTCTTTGAGTGTGCTGTGCACTCATTAAACACTTTAACAGCATTCAGAGACATTATTTTCTTCCACTTCTGAATGAGGACCTCAAGGACAGCCCAAAAATCTAGTATTTTTTCTGGGCCCCACACTCCAGAGCCCAGTGCATTGTCACATTCTGCTTTATTCCAAGTCCTCATCTGCCCACATCTCTAGGCCTCTCTCTTCTCTGAAGGACCTCTAGAACCTGAAAAGCCTCTTCCCAGAGTCTCAAAGCACAGTGAGTTACCAATGAAGAGCCAAGGGGAGCAGACACTTATGAGTATCTAGAATTCTTGGTATTATTCCTTTTGAGTACCCCTATTTATGAGAGAGAAAACGAAGGTTTTCTTTCCCGTAGCCTCACTTTATATCACATGGGGTGGTTGGGGGAGGGCATAGCTCATTTTAGTTCCAGGTGCCCATAGAGGTGGGAGTCACAACCCCTGTCCTGTCCTCTTGAAACAGCTGGGAAGATCCCCAGGCCTGGAAGAACCCAGGGAACCTGGAGGATCCTTCATCACATGCTGTCAGCTCCTGGTCATGTAGCTGGGGGAGTGGATGCCTCTGCCTCATGGCAAAGCTGCCTCTTCTATTTCTTCCCGTTTTGTCACTTCTCTGGTTTCCTCTTCTCTAACCTCACCTCCATGATCTCCACCTTAGAAGCCTGTGTGTGTGTGTGTGTGTGTGTGGTGTGTTTGTGTGTTCATGGCTGCACACCTATGTGAGAATAAGGAAGGGTAGAAAGCCCAGGTAGAAAGTAGACCACAGGGTTTTCCAGGACTTAAGAGCACTCATTTCCAAAGCAAACCTGATGGGTGGGGTGCATGCAAGGCCTTGGAAGCTGGATCCCTCCCTAATACTCTGTGCTCTTCCCAATTTCTGGGATATGGACCAGTCTTTGCCTTTTTTGGGGGCCTCAGTCTTCCTGTTGTAAAATGGATAGGTGGTCACAAAACTGCATAAACACATGCTCAGTGAAGACAGGGTGTCATGCTCAATACCAGAGAGAATATTGGGATGGGGAGAGTTTGAGCAGACTTTTGTGTCCACGGTAGCTCAGGCCTCTGAACAGGGCAAATGCAGGTGAACATAAAGCACGGCACAGCCAGGTTTTCTTACCAGGGCTACGGGATGAAACAGTGCACCACAGGCTCTGTTCTGGAGGCTGGTCCCGCAAGATTTTCCCTCCTTCAACCAGCAACTGTTTGATGAATTTCATGTCCTGTGAAGCCCATATCCACCCCCATTACAGTGAGGGGCACAGGGCACTAGACCTGTAAAATAATGTCTTTTGCCTTTTTTTCTTTTCTTTTCTTTTTCTTTTTCTTTATCTTTTTCTTTTAACTGAGTGGCTGTTTCTTCTTTCTCTTTTTCTGTTTTGTTTGTTTTTTAACTAATTTTTAAGAGGTCTTTACAGGTCAGCTGTGGTGCCTCACATCTGTAATTTCAACACTTGAGAGGCTGAGGCGGGCGGATCATTTGAGGTCAGGAGTTAAAAACCAGCCTGGCCAACCTGGTGAAACCCCGTCTCTACTAAAATTACAAAAAATTAGCCGGGAATGGTGGCACAAGCCTGTAGCCCCAGCTACTCAGGAGGCTGAGACAGAAGAATTGCTGAAACTTGGGAGGCAGAGGTTGCAGTGAGCCGAGATTGCACGTCTGCACTCAAGACAGGGTGACAGAGTGAGTCTCTGTGGAAAAAAAAAAAAGAGAGAGAGAGAGGGAGAGAGAGAGTGCCCTTTATGGAAATGCGAGCCCATTTGTAATTTCATGAGTTGTAAATATTTATTCCAATTTGGGAATTTCTTTTCTTATTGTGGTGTTCTCTTTAAGTTTGTTTTGGATGTTATTAGTGTTTTGTTTTGCTTTGTTTCTATGTAACTTCTCCCTAAATTGATTCATAGATTTCCATTTTCACAATACAATATTTTGGCAGAAATCTTGTGGAAACTGTCTAATCAGTTTAAAAAATTTAAATACATATAAAAAATCGAAGAAATGTAAAAACTGTCCTGAAGAATAACAAAGTTTGTGAGCTTAAAATGACATATATTCAGACTTAGATTAAAGCTATAGTAATAAAAGCTATCTATGGTAGTAATGCAAAAATAGGCACAAAGAAAACTAGAAAAACTCGAGAGTCCAACTCAGACTCACACATTTGGACATTTTGTATATTACAAAACAGGCACAGAAGAGGAGTGAAGACAGTCTTCTCGGTAAATAGCCTTGAGTCAACCAGTTATTTATGTGAGAAAAAACACTCCTATCTTATATTATTAACAAATTCCAATGAAAAGTGGATTTTAAATTTTAAGGTCAAAGCTGAAAGCAATATTTCTAGTAGATAACATAGATAAATATGTCCATGACTGGCACAGGCCCAGATTTCTTGGGACACAAAATGCATTAATTCTCAAGACAAAAATATGACAAATTGGACTTTATTACAATTAAAACCTTCTCTTCATAAAAAAAACCTTCAGGAGAGCTGAAAGGCAAGAACAAAGTGGAAATCAACATTTGTCATATATTGATGTGGCAAAAGCCTTTTATCTAGTTTATTTAACTAAATCCCATCAATTAATAAACAAAGATGCAATACATTGAACAAAATTGACAAACATGTGACTAGGAGTTCCACATACAGAACCGAAGGGCCAACAAGTAGATGAACATATCCACATCCTTATGCATCAGAACAATGCATATGAAAACTACAATTGAATGCCACTATGCAATCATTCACATTTTTGAAAACTGACAAAATTAAGTACTAGTGATGATGTCAAGCAACTGGAACTTTCTTATACCATTCTGTGTGCAAACTGTTATAACGGCATTCAAAACCTCTTGAGTAGTAACTCCTTACATACACGATGTACATAAGCACACTCTAGGACCCAGCAACTCTGCTACTAGGTATATACACCCAATAGAAATGCCAGCATATTTTCCAATGCAGACAAATGCTCTAAGCAGCATTATTTGGTACTTTTCCAAACTGAAAAAAACTCAAATGTGCATCAGTAATAAAATAACTAAATAAAACAGCTACATATTCCTTTATAAGGGGACATTATACAGATATAAAATTAATTGGAGACATATTAAAATATACAAAAATCTAACAAATACAATTTAATTAGATTTAAAAGTCCTATCCACAGCAATCAGCCAATAGAAAAGAAAAAGGCATACAAATAGAAAAAAAAAATGAATTCTCTTTCTCCATTTGCATTATGAGTCACTACGTAGACAATGCTAAAGTCTTTCCAAAACTCCTTTTGGAGAAAACTTGAAAAGCCTCCTGAAATGGATAAGCAAGTAAAGTTTTAGGACACAAAACCAATGTACAAAAACCAGTAGTATTTCTATGCATCAACAACTTTGAATTCCTGAACATCTTCTGGTTTTATTGCATTTTCAATTTTTTCCCTCCATTAACTATACATTTTTTCTTTTTTCAGCTAAACTAATTTATTCTTCTGTATAATTTCACCTTGTTAATAAACCCCAGGCCAAAAAGTGGGAATAAAGTATTTGTCTGCATCCTGTTTCCTCATTTTGAAAACTAGTCTAGATGAAACCTATACTTGTTCTAGGGAGTTGGCATAGACAGCATTTATTTCCGTTCTCAGCAGTGATGCCAACCAGAAAGAGGGAGTTCCGCATTTTCACTTTGGTTAGACAGGACTCTGGATGGTTGTAGGGGAAAAGATCCAAACTCTAAGGGAGTCAAATCAGACATTGCAAAGATTTATACATTTACTCTGGGAGCAATTATTGTGTTAAATTTTGTGCAAAACACTGCGCAAAGAGCAATTAAAGTGAAAATTATTAAG
This sequence comes from Homo sapiens, assembly GCF_000001405.40. Taxonomy (NCBI): domain Eukaryota; kingdom Metazoa; phylum Chordata; class Mammalia; order Primates; family Hominidae; genus Homo; species Homo sapiens. Next base: position 200,531 of record NW_021160012.1, on the reverse strand, counting down.
GCATTACCTTTACCTTGGGAAACTCACACTAGTCAGATTCTCCGAACCCCAGAACATAACAACAACCTAGTAAAATCTTGTTCAGAGTGAAGAGAGGGTGGGAGCAGGAAGGTAAGATTAAAAATTAGGCTGGGTGAATGAGATAATTACCCCTAGTCAAGCAGTGGAAGTATGGATGGCTTTGGGATGGGTGAAGACAAAAGAATCTCAGCAGAGGGTGCAGATAAAAAAAGGCAGAAACACAGGAGGCTTATGCAGGAAGAGGAATGAGTTTGCTGGACTGGGGAGAGTGACAGTAAAAAGCAGAGGATAATAGGCATCTCTGGTCATCTAGGGACTATAGGGTGGATTAGTTGGGGGTTACAGAATCAGTGAGGTACTTTTTAACAGTAGGATGGGTAAATAAGAGCTATAATTTGGAATAATTATGTAGCAATGGTGGTTAGGAGCAATAGAAACTCAAAGTATTACATAAATATTTTTTTTCTTATTCTCCCACACAAGCGTTTTGCCTTTCCTCTTAAACTGAGAACGGAGTGGTTTGCTATGATGTTTTTAAATTCTCACAGACAAGCATTATTGTTTGCTGCCTTTTAGTAAAGGTTAGTTTTAACCAAATTAAAGAAGATTGAATGGATTTTCTTGCTCATAAGGGTTGAGTGCAATATCTCATACCTTCTACTAGTTTTCAGTATAACTGAAATAACAGAGTGTCAATACTCCATGGAGGGGTGTTCCGCTTGCTAAGGCTCCCTCCTCTGGGCTAGGCCTTCTACACCATGGCTGTCCTGCTGTGGCTGGAGCTGGAATTTGGATTGACCTCTGTGTGTCTTCCTAGCACACAATAGGTGTCCAATTAGCATGGGCAGAATCAAGCTCCTCCCTCTCACCATTTATTTCTCCATTTGTCCCTTGTTGGGAATGGAGAGTCCTGCCACTGAGTTCAGCCCAGGGTTGAAGTTCAAATCTCAGCTGATACTTGGTGGATGTTGACTTTTTTGAGAAGAACTTGGGAGAATAAAACATTATAAAGGCGCTGGCCAGGCACGGTGTCTCATGCCTGTATTCCTGGCATATTGATTGGCTGAGGAGATAGAATTGCTTGAGGCCAGGAATTTGATACCAGCCTTGTCAACATAGTGAGACCCCATTTATACAAAAAACTTGAAGCATTAAAAACATTTAGCCAGGTGTGATAGTTCCAAACTGTTGTCTCAGCTATGCTGGATATTGAGGCAGAGGATCACTTGAGCCAGGAGTTCTAGGCTGCGGTGAACTATGATCACGCTACTGCACTCCAAACAGGCAACCACGCAAGATGATTCAAAAATAAAATCTTTTATTATTCTTCACCCCTATAGTCTCTCCAGAACTTGTGCACTATGTAGCAGAAAGAATCAAACTCCCCAAGAGTTTGGTTCTTGCTCATGATTTGGTTTTCTGCTGCTTGGCTGCCCCGTCATGTCCCCATTTTGTATAAAATAAGAACCCCCCAGTGAAGTGGAGTTTCTCCCCAGCAGAGGGTCTCACCAAGGCCCCAAGACTGGCACTTTAGGTGGAGGCTTGCCTTTCAGCCTCTGAATAATAATTGATACTAAAATTGAGAAGTTTTCCAGACACCAGCTTCCTGAAAGGAGCATCCAGTCAGAAGACAAGATGAGGTCAGTAGCGAAGGTGACTCAGGCTGAGTGGGGAAGTCCACCAGCGTATCTGAAGACTGAGCTAGGGGAGGGTTTCCCTAATGTTCACTCCTTCTGCCCTCCATATATTCCTCTACTTTTCCCAAACTTCCCTCTGACATCCTCCAAACTTTCTATCTTCCCAGGGCTTTCTTGCCAGGGAGTCTAATGAAGTAAAAGCTTTAAAATTGCTTTGATTTTAAAAATAATTTTATTGATTCTTAAAATGTACCGACACAAAATTAGAATACCAATTCTTAAAATGCTTAAAAAGTAAATTAAGTGTAAGTTTACATTTAATTATCTTATTTGATTCCTAATTAAAATACAAAAAAAATTTTTTTTGAAACAAGGTCTTGCTCTGTCACCCAGACTGGAGTGCAGTGGTGAGATCTTGGGTTATTGCAACCTCCACCCCCTAGGTTCAAGCGATTCTCATGCGTCAGCCTCCCAAGTAGCTGGGACTACAAGCACACACCACCAATTGGCTATTTTTTGTGTTTTTAGTAGATATGAGGTTTTGCCATGGTGCCCATACTGGTCGCAAACTCCTGGTCTCAAGTGATTCACCCACCTCGGCCTCCCAAAATGCTGGGATTACAGGTTTGAGTCAACACACCTGACCTTAATTTTTTTTTTAAATTATAGGTAAATTTAAATTACTCAGAAATAGTCAGAATTAACCGTTGAATACCCTGAATCTTTTTCCCATGCATAAGCCTTTCTAATCTTTCTATTCAAATTTGGATTTGATTCGGTTCTAGTGTTTTAAAACCTGCTTTTTTCCTTCAAAGAAATGCAGACCATCTCACAGGCCAATGGACATCACAGATTTTCTGATGCTTAGAGGCTGACTGGTTGTTTATCTATGACCTCCCATAATGTACTTAAGTAACACCCTCTTGATGATGGGGTTAAGTTGTTGAAATTACCTTATCTTTTCTGAAGCACTACGTGGAAAATATTAGATCTTGAAAGAAACACATAAACCCATACCACACACTTCCTTTGAAATTCTCTGCTGCTTATTTAAAGAGATGTTTATTCCTGACTAAGGTCCTACATTACACTCTCTGTAGAACTTTTGGAAACTATAAAATTACAAGAGAATCAATAAAGCAATTTAATTTCTCACAGGATCCTGCTTCCTGTAAGAAACACATCAATTCCTATAATTCGGCATATTTCCTCTCAATCATTTTTCTACACATTTTAAATTTTGAGCTCTAATGTATAAGTTTGGTTATACTTTTTAATGTGTGCCTTTCATTAATTTGTTTAATGTTATATCATCTCATAAGCACTTCTCCATGTGATAAAAAATTCTTTGTACATCCCATTTTTAATACATATATGTAGCTCCAAAGAAAAGGCATATCTTGTTTACTCTTCTAATCCCGTAGTATTCGAAAACTTTGTTTTTCCAATTCTTTGAGATAATAAACTGGTTAGGGTTAGTATTTTGGTCCCCATTTAAATTTTCTAAGAGTTGCCTTTCTACAAGTGGCTAAGTGACTGTTACAAGGAGAAGAGCCCTCCTGAAGGGGTGTGCCATGGGGTTGAGGCCTCCCTGCAAAGTGCCTTCCTTGTGGCAGATCCCCATGTGTCTTTCTAAAATCAGCACAGTCAGACTGAGAGTGATTGGAATTCTGCAGCTGTGAGCCCTCTCGAATCTTCCTTGAATTCAGATGCAACTAATCTCCTCCTTGGTGGACACCAGGAAGTAGGCTGTAGAGCATTCTGTGACCCTGAAGAATGACACGATGTTCTTGATGAAGAGGGTGGATATTCCTGAAGGAGAAATAATGTTTTCTCAACAGCAGAAGCAGATATCAAGTTTATTCAATGACTGGGTCATGGAAAATCCTGTTCTCTACAGGTTGATGCTACATTCCAGGCAAACCCACACCCTCGGTGTATGCCAGAGGCTTCAGAAACACAAAGGAGCTCATACAAGATGAGTGCCAGGCAGCTATGAAAAGAGCTGAGATTCTAAACCACAAATAAAGACAACTACGAATATAGGTGAGACGAAAAACTGTAAACCTTCTTAAGGGTGTACAACATGTAACAACGGCTCCCATTAGCTCATGTTTAGATACCAAGGAAATAATAGCAGGAATGTTTTATGTTCACATTCCAAACAAAACCTATTATCATTCTTTGTCAGTTCATTTAGTCCTGTTTTATTCATACTTGTTTTACTCTATCTTGTAAGCACATATGCTTCTCTGCTAGAATTAGAGAAATAACTTAGTCCACTGATAGTGTTTCAAAGTTATGTAAGTCATTCTATCAGAAGCCTGTTTATAGGAGTACTTGGTACAGTTATTTCTGTGGGTCTCTGAGATATTCTTATTTTGTTGAAGACAAAGCCCTGTGGCCTGGAACTGATTTGCAAGCACTTTTAGAAAAATAGCCGAGTACAACCAAAAGTATATACTAATGAAAAAGTAAGCCATGCTTTCAGGTATGTAGTTAGTTGATACACTAAAATATTCTTTTATATAATGCAAACAGCACTAACACTTTAAAAAATAGAATTATATTATGCACAGTGAGGGCACTGGAAATTTTTTTAAAAACTTTAATTTCTGGATTATTTACGTTAATAACAATTATGTAAAAAATTTAACCTAGGGGAAGCTAAGCATATGTCTTATTATTTAATATAACAATATGCAAAATAGGCACGTTTCCATATATGATACTAGGACATAAAGTGTGCTGATACAAATATGAAACATAAAATATAAGTAAGAAATAGAAAAAATGACCTGTGTATGTTGATTATTTATATGTGTTTATTACTATTTTTAGTAAATTAGATTATGTAAATATGTATTATATTTTAGGCAGCAGCAAATATTAACATATTTTTTAACGTGCAGCTTAGATAAGAATTGATGATTACAATTTATTAATATTAGCTACTTACGACAAACATTATGCAAAAAGAAACTCTAAAAATAATTTTGTATTAACTTTGAAAATTTTAAACTCTTTTCCACAGAAGTTTTTAAATTACAGACAATAAAATAGAAAGTTTATAAAAAAGAAAATGGTACTGAGAAATAGTTGGATTTTGATTCATTATTTTTTCTGAATATTAGTACTTGGAGCTTCACTGTTAATAATGCCAATAGGCTACACAAATTTTCTCTTCAGTAAAATGGCAAAACAGAAGGCATTCAATTTTTAAATATAAGATGCAATTTTATTACCTTTTTTCTATATAAAAGACACAAAATTTAGACCAATAAAAACAGAATTTCTTCCATGAAATTTCAAGAGCTGAGCTGAGCTGGGAAGAGCTAACCTGCTTAATATCAGAGTTTTAAATTAAAGCAAGAGGCCCACATCAAAGAAATAGTTATGCCTTTTTGTCTTCCTTTCTGTGATTGTGTTAAACAACAGGCAACATTAGATCAAGCACCGACTCCTCATTGTTCCATTTTTTCCTCATGGAAAAGCACCAGGAAAGGGTCAGATGGATCAGCACAAATATGGGGCACTGTCTCACTGCCGAGGTGGCACCCTCATAAAAAACAGGCCCGCAATTTTGTGGAAAAGGGGGCAGGAGAGCGTAGAGGAGAATGTATGAGCAAGATTAAAGAGAATTGAATATTAATAGGAATCTATAAAAATTATTATCAAAGTTCCATTTCTTCTCCAGAAACAGGGATCTGAACAAAAGTTTCTGAAGAAGGCCTCAACCAAAAGGCCCTCAGGAAGGTGCCCCTGAATCTAGATGCCTGGACTGGGAATGAAAATCTACATGTGAGCCTCAGTGGCCAAGATTTCCGGTATTGTTTATTTCAGCCCCTTAGAGACTGCAAAGCGCTGACATTTACATGCTTCTCCTACATGCACATGTCAGCAGCAGTGTGATAACCAATGCTTTCAAAGATATAATGTGGGTATGAGAGTTTCTGGCAAAAATTTAGATAATCTTATCTTTTCAACCTCAAATAACAATATATGCTGAGAAACTTCAAAGGCATGTACCTCCACAAATAATTTTTCAGGAAAGAATGAAGAAGCACAGCTGTAGAATAAAAATTAGGCTGGAAGTTGATGCTACCTGTGGGAATTGCTAATAATGGAAGCACAGGTTGTTAGAATTTAACGTGTCTGATTGGTGAATATAATGTCACAGCAGCATAGATGCAGGAGTACTTGGATCTGACTATGCTATCTAAAGCTAGAATCCTTAAATTTTCAAAAGTTTAGAAAAATAGGTTAGTTAGTGGAGGTGGTATTTCTCCTCTTTGGTTGATTTGGAAATTAACACCAATCATCATATGAGTTTCTGGTTTATATGTACACTATGTGTTTTACTCAGGACAATTTAGGTAAATATATAGACTTAATCATTTTCAGGTGTCTGTAAAGGGTGCATTATTAACATTACAGATAACTTTTCACTGGAATAAAATACCTCGACCCAGAATCTTCAATGGCCCCATCAATTGAGGTCAGTCATTTATAATAAAATGAAGTCTACTATTCTTTTTAAAATATACAAAGTAAAAGTCATCAAGATCAAAGTTATTAAGAAACAAAATTATAAGAAAAACACAGCTGTACCATTACATCTTAAAAAATCCCAAAATTGTATATATACTGTAGAAATAATATAAGTAGTTATAATGTTTAAATATATTAGAGGAAAAGTTTAAAAGTAAGATCAAAATAAGTTATATTATCAAAATAATTAGGTAAAAATTTTAAATTTAAAGGATAGAATGCATAGAAAAATTACATAATTGAAAAAGAAATTATGAATTAGAAGATATGATGAAGTGAATATTTAGAAGTCCCAATAGGGATAAAACAAATAAACAATATGAAAAATTAAAATACATAAAAATCTAAAATAAGTCATGTTGTTTAAGTGCAAGTTCGAATAAATAAAATGGAGTGAATGTCAAATAGGGAATAAAAATATATAATTATTAAAATAATTAATTATAATAGCTTAAAGGCATTCTGATCAAAAGAAAAACAATAGTTAAAAGCATAATACCATAATAGAGAAAATCACGTAAAGCTATCTAAGATAAAATTCAAATTAATTATAAAGCAATGAAAAGAAACATATTTCTCAATATGTGAATAAGATCAAGAATCCAATAGGTTATGGTTTTCAAAGTTCTGAGGGAAAAACATGTAAATTTAAAATTACATATATTTGAAAAGTTATTTTCAGGTTTAAGGACAAAATGTAACTTAATACACAAATACAATGTAAGTATAATTACGTCAGTGAAATGCATTTAAAATTTGCTGAAAATTTAGTTTATAAAGAAAAACACTCTTCCTGAGAACAAACATTGAGATAAAATAAATGTGCAAACATCTAAATAGATGGAAACTATATTAACACTGTGTGAAATTATACACAATATGTGATATATCCATGTGAAGCATATTTATGGAAGCATAAAAGAAAATGTTATCCCAAGAGTTATATTAAATAAAAGAGTAAATTTGATAATAGATGAGTAACTTATTTTATATCAGTATAATGTATATTTAAGAGATTTTTGTCACTAAATTATTAAATATTGAGTGCAAATCCTATATACTGTTTGAACAATACTATTATTTTCTCAGCAAAGATCAGCACTGAAAGACTGACTCCTGCATAGCCACTGACCACAGCTTCTGGAACAACAAAAGCATTGAATCATTAATCCTGAATGTGGCCAATGAGCATGAGATGAGGAAATCTACCCAGTTCATGACCACAAAGCAACTCACCAGCAGCTGGATGGCCTGGGTAGCTTATTTCTCTGGAGAGACTTAGACAGTGACTCCTGATACAGAGATGCTGAGACTGCATTTTGTGCCTGGAGGAGAGAATTACCACGTGTGATTGAGAGCATCAGTGTTCCTCCAGAAGAGACATTTCTAAATGCTGCTAGTGTGAAAACCGAGCTTATGTTCACGTAGCCCCTGGGGGAAGAAAAACAGTAATATTTAACAGTACATTTTAAGAACCAATAAAATTATTTTTAAAATCAAAGCAATTTTAAAGCTTTTACTTCATTAGACTCCCTGGCAAGAAAGTCCTGGGAAGACAGAAAGTTTGTAGGATGTCAGAGGGAAGTTTGGGAAAAGTAGAGGAATGTACGGCCCACTCAGCCTGGGTCACCTTCGCTACTGACCTCATCTTGTCTCGACTGGGTGCTCCTTTCAGGAAGCTGGTGTCTGGAAAACTTCTCAATTTTAGTATCAATTATTATTCAGAGGTTGAAAGGCAAGCCTCCACCTAAAGTGCCAGTCCTGGGGCCTTGGTGAGACCCTCTGCTGGGGAGAAACTCCACTTCACCTGGGGGTTCTTATTTATACAAAATGGGGAAATGAGGGGGCAGCCAAGCAGCAGAAAACCAAATCATAAGCAAGAACCAAACTCTTGGGGAGTTTGATTCTTTCTGCTACATAGTGCACAAGTTCTGGAGAGACTATAGGGGTGAAGAATAATAAAAGATTTTATTTTTGAAACATCTTGCATAGTTGCCCTGGTTGGAGTGCAGCAGCACGATCATAGCTCCCTGTAGCCTAGAACTCCTGGCTCAAGTGATCCTCTGCCTCAATGTCCAGCATAGCTGAGACAACAGTTTGGAACTATCACACCAGGCTAAATGTTTTTAATGCTTCAAGTTTTTTGTATAAATGGGGTCTCACTATGTTGACAAGGCTGGTATCAAATTCCTGGCCTCAAGCAATTCTATCTCCTCAGCCAATCAATATGCCAGGAATACAGGCATGAGACACCGTGCCTGGCCAGCGCCTTTATAATGTTTTATTCTCCCAAGTTCTTCTCAAAAAAGTCAACATCCACCAAGTATCAGCTGAGATTTGAACTTCAACCCTGGGCTGAACTCAGTGGCAGGACTCTCCATTCCCAACAAGGGACAAATGGAGAAATAAATGGTGAGAGGGAGGAGCTTGATTCTGCCCATGCTAATTGGACACCTATTGTGTGCTAGGAAGACACACAGAGGTCAATCCAAATTCCAGCTCCAGCCACAGCAGGACAGCCATGGTGTAGAAGGCCTAGCCCAGAGGAGGGAGCCTTAGCAAGAGGAACACCCCTCCATGGAGTATTGACATTCTGTTACTTCAGTTATACTGAAAACTAGTAGAAGGTAAGAGATGTTGTACTCAACCATTATGATCAAGAAAATCCATTCAATCTTCTTTAATTTGGTTAAAATTAGCCTTTATTAAAAGGCAGCACAGAGTAATGCTTGCCTGTGAGAATTTAAAAACATCATAGCAAACCACTCCGTTCTCAGTTTAAGAGGGAAGGTGAAAGGCTTGTGTGGGAGAATAAGAAAAAAACATATTTATGTAATACTTTGAGTTTCTATTGCTCCTAACCACCATTGCTACATAATTATTCCAAATTATAGCTCTTATTTACCCATCCTACTGTTAAAAAGTACCTCACTGATTCTGTAACCCCCAACTAATCCACCCTATAGTCCCTAGATGACCAGAGATGCCTATTATCCTCTGCTTTTTACTGTCACTCTCCCCAGTCCAGCAAACTCATTCCTCTTCCTGCATAAGCCTCCTGTGTTTCTGCCTTTTTTTATCTGCACCCTCTGCTGAGATTCTTTTGTCTTCACCCATCCCAAAGCCATCCATACTTCCACTGCTTGACTAGGGGTAATTATCTCATTCACCCAGCCTAATTTTTAACCTTACCTTCCTGCTCCCACCCTCTCTTCACTCTGAACAAGATTTTACTAGGTTGTTGTTATGTTCTGGGGTTCGGAGAATCTGACTAGTGTGAGTTTCCCAAGGTAAAGGTAATGCCTTAATAATTTTCACTTTAATTGCTGTTTGCGCAGTGTTTTGCACAAAATTTAACACAATAATTGCTCCCGGAGTAAATGCATAAATCTTTGTAATATCCTATTTGGCTCCCTTAGAGTCTGAAACTTTTCCCCTTCAACCATCCAGAGTCCTGTCTAACCAAAGTGAAAATGGGGAACTCCCTCTTTCTGGCTGGCATCACTGCTGAGAACGGAAATAAATGCTGTCTATGCCAACTCCCTAGAACAAGTATAGGTTTCGTCTAGACTAGTTTTCAAAATGAGGAAACAGGATGCAGACAAATACTTTATTCCCACTTTTTGGCCTGGGGTTTATTAACAAGGTGAAATTATACAGAAGAATAAATTAGTTTAGCTGAAAAAAGAAAAAATGTATAGTTAATGGAGGGAAAAAATTGAAAATGCAATAAAACCAGAAGATGTTCAGGAATTCAAAGTTGTTGATGCATAGAAATGCTGCTTATTTTTGTACATTGGTTTTGTGTCCTAAAACTTTACTTGCTTATCCGTTTCAGGAGGCTTTTCAAGTTTTCCCCAAAAGTAGTTTTGGAGAGGCTTTAGCATTCTCTACGTAGTGACTCATATTGCAAATGGAGAAAGAGAATTCAATTTCTTTTTCTATTTGTATGCCTTTTTCTTTTTTATTGGCCGATTGCTCTGGATAGGACTTTTAAATCTAATTAAATTGTATTTGTTAGATTTTTGTATATTTTAATATGTCTCCAATTAATTTTATATCTGTATAATGTCCCCTTATAAAGGAATATGTAGCTGTTTTAGTTATTTATTTTATTATTGATGCACATTTGAGTTTTTTTCAGTTTGGAAAAGTACCAAATAATGCTACTTCGAGCACTTTACTACATTGGAAAATATGCTGGCAATTCTATTGGGTGTATATACCTAGTAGCAGAGTTGCTGGGTTCTAGAGTGTGCTTATGTACATCGTGTATGTAAGGAGTTACTACTCAAGTGGTTTTGAATGTGGTTATAACAGTTTGCACACAGAATGGTATAAGAAAGTTCCAGTTGCTTGACATCATCACTAATACTTAATTTTGTCAGTTTTCAAAAATGTTAATGATTGCATAGTGGTATTCAATTGTAGTTTTCATATGCATTGTTCTGATGCATAAGAATGTGGATATGTTCATCTACTTGTTGGCCCTTCGGTTCTGTATGTGGAACTCCTAGTCATATCTTTGCCAATTTTGTTCAATGTATGCATCTTTGTTTATTAAGTGATGGGATTTAGCTTAATAATCTAGATAAAAAGCTTTTGCCAGATCAATATATGACAAATGTTGATTTCCACTTTGTTCTTGCCTTTCAGCTCTCCTGAAGCTTTTTTTTTTATGAAGAGAAGGTTTTAATTCTAATAAAGTCCAATTTGTCATATTTTTGTCTTGATAATTTATGCATTTTGTGTCCCAAGAAATCTTGGCCTGTGCCAAAGTCATGGACATACTTATCTATGTTATCTACTAGAAATATTGTTTTCAATTTTCACCTTAAAATTTAAAATCCACTTGTCTCGAAATTTGTTAACAATATAAGATAGGTTTATTTCTTTCTCACATAAATAACCAGATGACCCAAGGCTAATTACCGAGATGCTGTCTTCTCTCCACTGCTCTTCTGTGCCTGTTTTGTAATATACAAAATGTCTAAATGTGTGAGTCTGAGTTGGACTCTCGAGTTTTTCTAGTTTTCTTTGTGCCTATTTTTGCATTACTACCATAGATAGCTTTTATTACTATAGCTTTAATCTAAGTCTGAATATATGGCATTGTAAGCTCACAAACTTTGTCATTCTTCAGGACAGTTTTTACAGTTCTTTGATTTTTTAATATGTATTTAAATTTTTAAACTGATTAGACAGTTTCCACAAGATTTCTGCCAAAATATTGTATTGTGAAAATGGAAATCAATAAATCAATTTGGGGAGAAACACTAATAACATCTAAACCAAACTTAAAGAGAACACCACAATAAGAAAAGAAATTGCAAAATTGGAATAAATATTTTCAACACATGAAATTACAAAGGGGCTCATGTTTCCATGAAGAGCACTCTCTCTCTCCCTCTCTCTCTCTCTTTTTTTTTTTTTTTTACAGAGACTCACTCTGTCACCCAGTCTGGAGTGCAGTCGTGCAATCTCGGCTCACTGCAACCTCCGCCTCCCAAGTTTCAGCAATTCTTCTGTCTCAGCCTCCTGAGTAGCTGGGGCTACAGGCTTGGGCCACCATTCCCCGCTAATTTTTTTGTAAGTTTAGTAGAGACGGATTTTCACCAGGTTCGCCAGGCTGGTTTTGAACTCCTGACCTCAAATAATCCACCTGCCTCATCCTCCCAAAGTGTTGAAATTACAGGTGCGAGGCACCACAGCTGACCTGTAAAGACCTCTTAAAAATTAGTTAAAAAACAAACAAAACAGATAAAGAGAAAGAAGAAACATCCACTCAGTTAAAAAAAAAAAAAAGAAAAAGAAAAGAAAAGAAAAAAAGGCAAAAGACATTATTTTACAGGTCTAGTGCCCTGTGCCCCTCACTGTAATGGGGGTGGATATGGGCTTCACAGGACATGAAATTCATCAAACAGTTGCTGGTTGAAGGTGGGAAAATCTTGCGGGACCGACCTCAAGAGCAGATCCTGTGGTGCACTGTTTCATCCTGTAGCCCTGGAAAGAAAACCTGGCTGTGCTGTGCTTTATGTTTGCCTGCACTGGCCCTGTTCAGAGGCCTGAGCACGCATGGACACCTAAGTCTGCCCAAACTTTCCCCATCCCAATATTCTCTGTGGTATTGAGCATGACACCCTGTCTTCACTGAGCATGTGCTCATACAGTTTTGTAGCCAACTCTTTATTTTACAACAGGAAGACTGAGACCTCCCAAAAAGGCAAAGACTGGTCCAGATCCCACAAATTGGGCAAAGCACAGAGTATTAGGGAGGGATCCAGCTTCCTAGGCCTTGCATGCACCCCACCCATCAGGTTTGCTTTGGAAATGAGAGCCCATGAGTCCTGGAAAACCCTGTGCTCTACTTTCTACCTGGGCTTTCTACTCTTCAATGTTGTCACATAGGCGTGCAGGCATGCACACACAAACACATCACACACACACACACACACACACAGGCTTCTAAATTGGAGATCTAAAGTGGAGATTCTAAAGTGAGGTTAGGGAAGAGGAAACCAAAGAAGTGACAAAAGGGGAAGAAACAGTAGATGCAGCTTTGCCATGAGGCAGAGGCATCCACTCCCCCAGCTACATGACCAGGAGCTGACAGCATGCGATGAAGGATCCTCCAGGTTCCCTGGGTTCTTCCAAGCCTGGGGACTTTCCCAGCTGTTTCAAGAGGACAGGACTGGGGTTGTGACTCCCACTTCTGTGGGCACCTGGAACTAAAATGAGCTATGCCCTCCACCCACCACCCCGTGTGATATAAAGACAGGCTACGGGAAAGAAAGCCTTTGTTTTCTCCCTCATAAATAGGGGTACTGAGAAGGAATAATACCAAGGATTCTAGATACTCATAGGTGTCTGCCGCCCTTGGCTTTTCATTGGTAAATCACTGTGCTTTGAGACTCTGGGAAGAGGCTTTTCAGTTTCTAGAGGTCCTTCAGAGAAGAGAGAGGCCTAGAGACTTGGGCGGATGAGGACTTGGAATAAAGCACAATGTGACAATGCACTGGGCTCTGGAGTGTGGGGCCCAGAAAAAATACTAGTTTTTTGGGCTGTCCTTGAGGTCCTCATTCGGAAGTGGAAGAAAATAATGTCGCCGAATGCTGTTAAAATGTTTAATGAGTGCACAGCACACTCAAAGAGGCTGAGGAAAATAGGAATCAAGGGAGGCTTCCGAGGTCACTTTTATGGCCCTTGGAGCCTTCAGATACTGCTCCTTTTCCCAGGGGTCCCTGAAGAGCCACTGCCTTGAGAATTCCCCAGTGCAGGTACCTGTTTTGTGATGCTTCTGCCTGGGACTACAGTGCTAGCGGAGGTCTCTAGGTGGCTGCAGACCCCGTGTTTCTTGTGCCCGCTGGACTTGACTGGAGTAGCTGGAGCCGTGGAGAGACAGGCTGAGGGCCTGCAGCTCCTGTTATCATTCTTGATCTCCACATTATTGGGTGACCGAAAGCAGGAAGGACTTTGTGATTTTCCATGTTATTTTACTCAGCGACTCTTCCCTAGCACTCACCCTGTGGCAGCTACCTTGGTAGGTTCACCATGTGGTACCAAAAACGATTATGTTATCCCTGCATCCCCGCGGGGAGCCTACAGTCTGAGGACGGCAGGACAAAAACACTAAAGCAAGTACATGCGAAAGAAAAGAGCATTTTATAATGGAAATAAAGTAGAATGTTGGGAGGGAGGGCTGGGGAGAGGTTGCCTGGAGGAGACATGAATGCCTCCCTGAGGTGACATTATGTTGTGACGAGAATGACAACTGCGCAGGTGTGGAAAGTGTGTCAGGGAAAAGCCACTCTTTGTGAAAAGACTCAGAGGCACAAGTCAGTTTAGCAGAGGAGGTTATAAAGGGACAAGTGTGGCTGTAGGCAGCCTGAGAAAGAAAGGAAAAGAGGGGAGGGTGTATCCTGGGGCCTGAAAGAGGAGATTAGTCATTTGCCGCTCTCTGACAACATTGCCCTGAATTTTAGCACATTTTGACAACAATACTATCTCACAATTTTGTGAATCAGAATCTCGATATAGCTTAGTTGGGTGCCTCTGCCTCAAGGTCCCCTATGAGGCTGGGGCTGTGATTTCAACTGAAGCTGGATTTGGGGAGAGATCAGCCTCCAATCTGCCTCATGGAAATTGGCAGGATTCAGTGTGAACTGAGAACACCAGTTTCTTCCTGTTGATTGGCCTGGGCAGTTCCTCAGTTCTCTATCATGTGGGTCTGTGCCTAGAGCATCTTAGGACACTGGAGATCGCTTCCTCATCTTGAAGAATACAATAGAGAGATGGAAAATGAAAGAGATAGACAGACATATGCACAGAAAAAGAGAAAGGGAGACAGAGAGATTGAGAGACGAAACACAGGACAGAGCAAGTGGGAGGAAAATAATAGCTGTTTTGGAAATATAACTTTGGAAGTTGCAGTAGACTATGTGATTCCCCACCATATTCACATTCCAGAACATTAATCCCCAGTTTAATGGCCTTAGCAGGTCAGAGGTAATTAAGTCCTAAGCATGAGGCCCTCGTGGTAGAGATTACTGGCTTTGTAAAAGAAACCGCAGAAGGCTGTCTGTCCTTCTCTCTGCTAAATGAGAATACAACCTGAAGTCTGGAGTTCGAAACTCAGAAGAGAGTCCTTACCAGACCACAACCATGCTGGAAGCCAATCTCAAATTTCTAGCCTCCAGAACTAAAGTCTTTTGTTTATAAGTTGCCTAGTCTATGTTTTTTGGTATAGAAGCCTGAACTAAGTCAGAAGTGATAACCTATCACATTTGTTGTATTCTCTTTGACAGAAACTAGAACCAGGTCCCCAAAGAGTTCAACCAACGACTAGCAGAAATTCTTCAGTTTGCAGAATGACAGATAAGAAAAGATAGAACTTGTTGAAAGAATGAAATTTATTCCACTTATGAGACTTCTAAAAAGTGGCTAAAATTGGTTGGAACCAATATGGTCAACTGGAGTCTGTGTGAAATAAGCTCACTGATGTAAGAGCCCAAATTTCCATCACATGTTTTGTACTAACTGTCCCCAAATTTGCACATGACCTGTGTGTAGCAGGAAAAGATGGCTGTTCATGCCCAGTGACTTTCCATACATTTTTCCTTTCAGCAATTCCCTGCTAAACAAGAAGCCACCTCTTAAACCTTTCTGAGAATATTACTACCTTTAAGTAAGCACAGGGAAAGAGGCTTCAGCTGGAATCCAATGTCTTTGTTGGAAACCCGGTGTTATAGTACCGGCTTCTGAGGCACTGAGCGGTGAGCTGCGTTTTTAAATAACAGAGTCACTCACAACTTAGTGTTGTTGTGAGACTTTGTTGGGGGTGCCCACCACATAGGCTGAGATGAAGCATATACATGTGATTCCAAATATAATGCACAGCACTGGAATATTTAATGCCAGAATACAGTATCTGATTTTCTTTTGATTTCAACCTCTTCTGCTGTAGAATGGAAAAATAAGGCCATATATATAAAATATATATCTTTTATGTATACAGATATATGAAATATATATCTTTTATACATAAAGGTGTATATGTATAAGTTTATATATTATATATAATATATAAATATAAATTATATATACATAGTATATATATTTTTTTGAGACACAGTCTCGCTATGTCACCCAGGCTGGAGTGCAGAGGCATGATCAAGGCTCAATGTAATCTCTGCTTCCTTGGCTCAGGTGATTCTTACACCTCAGCCTCCTGAGTGGCTGGGATTACAGGCAAGCATCAACACATCTGGCTAATTTTTGCATTTTTAGTGGAGAAGGGTTTTTGCCATGCTGGCCATGGCTGGTTTCAAACCCCTGGCCTTAAGTGTTCCACCCATCTTGGTCTACCAATCTGCTAAGATTACAGGCAAGAGCAACTACATCCAACTGATTTTGATTCATTCTATCTCATATATCGCCAATGACTCTTTCTGGAAGTTGATGCTAGCCTAATCCCATTATGCATACTTCAGGGCTGGGGAGAACTGAAGCACACAGTCATTTTCATATGGTCACAGAAATGAAAAGGAAAAGAAGATTTTAATCCAACTCTGTTCTCTCAAACCTGGGGCCCTGGCTGTATTTAGATCTTTTTGGGGAGTAAGAGGCATAATTGTGTTTGCATAACTGTTTACAGGAAAAGAGTTGACATGGGAGATGAGGGTGAGCAATCAGCAGCCCAGTAGGGACTTTGCATAGATTTATGGAGGAAAAGGGCTCAGGGGATAAAACCTTGAAGAAGTTAACAGACTTCCCTTGTGACAGAACCTAACAGAATTTAGAACTTTGGGAAACAGAAACCCACATTCTAGAGAGAGCCCTCTATCTAGCTAATTTCATGGGAGATGCTTGAGAGAGTACTGTGTTCTCATTGTGTGCTATATTCCTAAGCTGTTGCCTGAGAAAGGTTCAAAGTGAGAGACTTTTCTGACCATATACATATTGGCTCAGCCCACATCCTTGATACCACTGGCCATTCAACAAGAGGCAAACAGAGGTAACACAGTGAAGCCCAGGTCAGGTCCGTCCATGCCAGGCCACCCGTGTCATCTAATCTGGGCAACCCGACCCTGTCTACCATTACCATGTGTTGCAGGGGGAGCAGGAAAGGAGGGGGCTCTTTCTCACAGGGGCAGGCTGTAAGGCATTGGAACCCTGGCGGCTATGTCATGTTCATACCCAGGTCATGGCTGGTGGAATAAAAAGTTGAGCATTGTGGACCAAGTGTGTCTACTCAGATGTGAATCCCAAGGCCTTAAGCTGTCCTCGGGTTTCCTCATTGGCTGGGGGTCTATGCAGATACTCCTATGTTCCTGATCTAGGAAACAGAATTTCTAATGGAGATGTCACCTGGTGGTAAAAACAAAGGAGATAATTAATTTTTTTTCTTTTTTCTTTTTTTTTTTTTCCTGCTTCACTGCTGGGAACACTCTCTGTAGAGTTTCATTAAAATCATTGAGCAGATATTTGATGGGTTCAAGTCCCCCATCTCCTTGGACAACTGGCAGGTTCACCACACCCCCAAGCATGGCATACAGTGAGTTACGGTGAGAGCAGGCACATGGGGGTCTCTACAGACAGGGGTCTGACAAAACCAGGATGGGCCCAGGATCCAGACCCAAATATGGAATTTCTCTGGGCTCTCTCTTAGGGGATTTCCATGAGTGACCCAAAGATGTGCCTCCCAAAAATCTAGCCTTAACTAGTCCCAAAGGCAGCTTGGTTAAGTGTAAAGTCCCTTTTTACATTCTTGTAGAAATATCAGAGAAGGCCTTTGTGTTGTTTTTACTTTACACTAGGCTGTATTTATTCATGTTTCTACAGTTTGTATGGTTTTAATTTTTCCCCCCTGGTATCACCTGTAGCAGGCAGGTTCACGGCACTGCCAGACCTTCCCCAAGACTTCAAAGCCACCACTATCACTAATACTCTAGAAAAATAAGGAAGAGTTTACATGAAAAGGGGGTTATATTGTTCCCTGCATTTGTCTGCAACGTGTCATCTCAGAGAACACATCCCTCTAGCCCATCAGGGCAGAAGTGGTGCCCTCACATCTCTTTGTAATGTTCTATAATGGGGGTCACTTCCCAGAGTGGTTTAGCCTTTCAGTGACTATTATTTCTGATCAAAATGGAATAAAACTAGAAATGAATAACAGAAGAAAACAAAAATAGCAACATATATATGGAAATTAAACAACTCACTTTTGAGCATGCTCATGTTTAAGGGTTGTAAGACTTGATATTATGAAGAATGCTCATGATGCCTAAAGCGAGTTACAGATTCAATGCAATCCCTTTTAAATTAGCAATGTTTTTGAAATAGAAAAAGGAACCAACAAATTATATGGAATCTCAAGCGACCATAAAGAGCCCAAAAATGTTTTAAAAAAAAACAATGTTAGCGGCCTCAATTTTCTGATTTCAAAGCACATTACAAAGCAACAGCAATGAAAACAGTTTGTTTCTAGCATAAAGACAGACAATTTTTCCAATAAAACAGAAGGTAGCACACATGTAAACCTCATACATATGAGCAAATAGCTATTTGCATACCAATATTCATTGCAGCATTATTCACAAAGGCCAATAGGTGAAAGCAACACAAACTTTCCTCATAGAATGAATAAATAAATATAATTTGTAATACAAAAGTAATGGAATATTACTCAGCTTTTAAAGGCAGAAAATCTTGTACCATCCACAATAAAGAGAAATCTTGAGAACATGATGCTAAGTAAAATTAGTCACAATAAAACAGATACTCTATGATTCTACTTATATGTAATATCTAAAGTATTGAAACTTAGAAACAGAAAATAGAATGATTTTTATCAGGAGCCAGGTTGTAAGGAAAATGGGTAGTTGTCATTTCATGTGTCCTGAGTTTCAGTTTTGCAAAAGAAAAAAGTTTTACAAATATGTTGCAAAGCAATGTAAATACATTAACATGACTGAACTGTATAAGAAAAAATATTAAAGATTCTAAATTTTATGTTATGTATTTTTACCACAATCGAAATTAAAAATGACACCCAAGGGCCAAGAGAGATGGCTCATGCCTGTAATCTCAGCACTCTGGGAGGCTGAGGCATGCAGATTACTTGAGGCCATGAGTTCAAGACCAGCCTGGCCAACATGGTGAAACCCCAGCTCTATGAAAAACACAAAAATTAACCAGGCGTGGTAGTGCACACTTTTAATGCCAGCTACTCAAGAGGCAGCAGCTGGAGAATTGCTTTAACCTGGGAGGTGGAGGTTGCAGTGAGCCAAGATTGTGCCACTGCACTTTGGCGACAGGGTGAGAGTCTGTCAAAAAATAAATAAGTAAAGACACCTGAAGAGAGAGAGTTACAAAGTTTTTGAAAAATTATCTTCAAATCGCATAAGTCTTTCTTTCACACTAGGATAATATAAACAATAGATGTTGAAATTAAGACAATTTCCATGATTACTCACTTAGACAGAATCAATTATTGTCCATCAAACAAGAAGAAAATACACAAGTCATAAACAAAATAGGGGCAATATTTATACAAGCAAACAAACAATTAAATCATTATATTAACAAAAGACCATAGGGATGCTTCATATTTTTTGCCTCACACTGTCTTAAGCTGTACAGATTTGAATATTGTCATAGAAAATTATATTATATAAATTCAAACTAAAAACAATAAACTGATGTAAGGTGCCCTACCCTAAAACATGAAACACAGAAATGCAAAATTGCAAAACAAACTTAAAAGAAACCTTCCCCGAATTCTTACTTGAATAATGTAATTCAAAATCATAATAAATAGGTAGAAAGTAAAAACACAATTAACTGCTGTGAGACAGCCTACTCTAAAAAATACAGAAACATAAATTCTAAAACATAATTAAGAGAAACTTTGATCTATAAAATCCTGAATAAACATAGTGTCCAACTGAAAAAGAATCCTAGGTAACTACAATTTTCAACTCTTCCTTTGAATCCATAAAAAGTATAAATTTTGAATTACTTGGATACAATTAGGGCAACAACATTTCAAAGAAACCATATTATAATTATTAAAAAGAGATGTGATGAGAAAGTTTTAAGGAATAAAAATTTAAGTAATACTAGAGAAAGTTTTAAATTATGCTACTGATGCATTGCTTCTTTCCTTACACAAAAGGGTAAGGCTGTAATCTAGCCTTTAATAGAAAGGTCTTACATTTTTACATATGGTAACAATATAAATATTGTAAATACAGTATAAAACATTGACAGATAAAATAAAAACTGGAAATAAATTGTACTATTAGTCAAATAAAAGTTGGGAAAACTGGAAGAAAATGCTAATAGTAATATTGTGCCTAGAGTCAATTAAACATACAAGCCAAATATTTTAATAATTAATTATATAATTGATACATAACATATACATTTGAGCATGCTGTTTTACAACTTCTCAAACTGAAATTACAGAAAAATGTGACACATGATAATTCAGAAAGTGAAAACACAGTCATAGTAATCTTCATATTAAAGAAAACAGAATCATAAAATAATAAGTGAGAAATAAGGTAATAATTGTGAATTCAATATATGTTGAACAATATTCTAATTTCTCTTACGGAAAAAGTTTTTGTAAGAAATCTGTAAAATGAGTACTTACAATAAACCATCCTACAGTAGAGGCTGTTGGCATACAGTGTTTAAATTTCTATGATTAGGTCCTACTAAGGAAAAGAAAATTTTAAAATAAAATAATTAGATTTTCCTATTTAATAAGATAATTTTTGCCTATAAAGTTTTTCAGTCTAATTTTTTTTGTAGAATTAGGTTTTAGCCTTCATAAAACTTGACATTATGAAGCAGAAAACAGGTGTCATCTGTCTCTGTTGTTCCTGGAATTTCTAACCCAAATGCCAATTCCTCCACAACTCCCCTCACACACTTCTGAATTGAAGCACAACAGATTTATTAAAAATGGCATAACAGCGGTCTCCAGAAATGTGCAGAGATTTTCCCAGATCCCTAAAAGCAATGACAAACTATTCAGATCATTTAGGTTCTCACAAGATTCTGGGAGGACTTCGGCTTTCAGTGTGAATTCACTGGAAGATTCTAAGAGAGAGGAAGAGAGAGAGAATGTGTGTGTGTGTGTGTGTGTGTGTGTGTGTGTGTGTGTGTGTGTTGAAATCAGAACCCCACCTTATGTGTTTATTGTGGAATTTGGAAATGAAAGCCTAAAGCCCAAAATTAAAATCACACATAATAGCACGTTGCAAACTGTTTTCTGTGCTAGATGGGTCGTTCTAGGGTGTAGGACCCTGGTAACACCGTTTTCCCCTCCTTCCGGAAAGAGCTACTCACACTGCTCAAAGCCTGCATCCACATGTACCATGTCGAAGACCAGCTCAAGAGCCTGGACCCATATGCCACCTTCAGCAGGGTTGACTGCAGCTCCTTGTTCTTCCTGAGCATCTTCTCCAATGGTGACCTGAGAGTTGCGGGAGGCATTGGGGCCAGGATTGAACAGAGGAAAAAGGAGCATGGAGGCCAGGTGCTGAGGACCAGGCCATCTTACCTGGAGAGTTCTGGCCCTGAGACATCCAGACCAACATGACGTTTAGGTGCAGACAGCTGGCCCTGGGTGGCCCTGTGCTGATCACCGGCCTCGGCCCCTCAAACAGTGGGAAATGGAAGAATGGCTTGGAAATGGGCCCTGTCGACTGTGTGTCATCTGAGCACATTCTCCCAGGGGCCCAAGAAGGGCCATCGTGTCTCCAGAACCAGAACTGGAAGGTAAACTGTCAGGGGGGACAAGGAAGAGGGTCCTCAGTTGGGTGGAGGGTCTCACAGCAAGACGCCTGGCTTAATCAAACTTGGCCATTCCTGAAGCACGTTCAGTGACTAAAAGTGCCTAACATGAGCAGCTGGAACCCACTCCCTGAGAGCTGCAAGATCCATGGGGACCTCATGTACCTGTTTGTAATTACAGACAAGGACCAGCAGGCAGCATTACCGCATCCACATGGGGCTTTTGCTGGACACAGTAAGTCTCTGCCAGCCCCTCCCAGGCTCCTGGGATGCCACTTGTTCTGGATCTGTGGACAGATAACCAGGATACTTGCTCAGTGTCCATCCACTCCTTGTGGCCTGAAGCCTATCGCTCAACCCTAGCCCCACCAGACCTGCTTCCTAAGGCATTCCTCTTGCCAGAAGGAAAGGCAATGCCTTTGTCCCACAGCCCCTGCCTTGTGTCATGTCATGTGGGGGTATGGAATGAATCGGCAGCCGAAACTCCTGTCCTTCTGCCTGAGAATTCTATCTTCTCTGTCTGAGTTACCCTCTAGGGAGCTGTCAGTGGGAGAGAGAGCAGCTGTGGAAGAGAGTCCCACCTGCTTCTGTTTGACTTCAGGGCAGCCTCTCAGGGCAAGAACCCAGAGCAGGTGGAGGCCTCACAGAAGCCTGTGGCAGGGCTCTGGGCTTGATGGGCTGAGCATCTCCCTATCTGCTGTCTGCAATGGGGCCCAGAACCATCCATTCAAGAGGGTCACCACCATATTGCAGGTGTGCAGCTGGACTGTTCCCAAGGCAGAGGCTGCCATGGACTGCAAGCACACAGAGGATGTACACCTTGAGCGTGGACTATGAGGAGAACATTTTTGAAGAGGTGCATGCAGCCTGGCCCTGCCTTCACTGGGAACCCCCTTCCTTCTGGGTACTAGACAGAATTCTGTACACTTTCCTGGAGGCTCCATTCTGGTCTGTTCATTTGGAAGTTTCAGGCTGTCTGTGAGGAAGTAACAAAAGAGATGTCTCAAAGCAGGTTGTGGGGCACAGGCTGAGCCCTTGTCTCCCTCCCTAGTCCCTCTGCAGACACGGGGCTGGAAGAAGGACCTGTGGATAATGAGGGAACTGCTCTTCGAGAACCGGCCTGAGCAGCTGCTTCAAGAAAGAGCCACATTAAAGGTGCCTATAGCCCCTGATGAGGGAATGGCAGCCTCAGGCCCGCCTGCCATCTGTGAGCAGGTTTTCTTGCTAACAGGATGAAAGCAAAGAAAGCTGGAATGAGCCCAGCCCTCTCAGGCAGCTTGAAGGCTGTTGGGGCTCTTTCCAGGCCTTCTAGCCTTATGCTTTTTGGCAGGCCACTTAGGCACCTTTTTCCAGCCTCTGAGACTTCCATGCTCTGGAAGGAGAGGGTCCCACTTTTCACTAGGCTATGGGGCAGGCCCATCCAGCTCCCGGCTGCCACTAACAACCATGGGGCTCTCACCTGGGCACCCACTGCCCAAACATGGCCCTTCTAAGGCAGAAGATCATGTGTCTTGCAGTTTCAGCTTGCTAGGGCTTAAAAGTTATCAGTGCTGTTATTAAGATAGGGAAGTGAGAAAGGAAAACTTGCTGTAAAAGTTTCCCATAATCTTACCACGGAGATCATCAGCACAGATGACAGCACAGGTGGGGCTGCTGGGGAGGCTGAGGGAGAGTGTCCAGCCTGTTCTGCCAGCTGGTCCTTGCCAGGGGTGTCTCGTGACCCAGTCCCTTAGAGAAGCATGCAGATATCTTAGCAAGTATCTGGAAGGTGCAGATCAGGGCAACCCAGCACCACTGATGGTGGAGTGGGCCTACCTCCCATCAAGCTGTGTCTCCACAGCTGACCCTTGAAGCCAGGAGGTGATTTACAACATGTGCAAGGCAGTGAGCTCCATCAGCTGTGTGGCCTTCAACATTCACTTCAACTCGGACATCTCACCAGAAAGCAGTGGGGACTGGCCAATGCAGAAGCCTGCAAAGTGGAACAGAGCGTCATGGGGTGGGGGATGTGGGGCCTGCCTGCTCATCTGAGCACTGCTCCCTGAGGGTGTGATCTGCAGGCTTCCTGAAGGAGGGCTGTGAGCTCATCTGCGAGGCCCTGAGCCTGTGGAACATGGCTGAGGCCAAGCCCATGGGGATTTGTGTCTACTTGCACCTCCTTGCTCATCTCAGTACACTACAGGTGACTGTGCCGAGGTGGGCCTTGAGCATCCCCTGGGCTGTGTTAGCAAAGGGCTCTGGGCCTGGCCTGGCATTGAGGGATGGCAAATAAGGGGCCTGGGGTTGCATTGTCACCCCCTATGGTAGCATAAAATGAGAGAGTCCGACCTGCAGGACTGGAACCCTATCAAGGGGGTTAGGAGGCTGCTCACTTTCCCTCAGGGACCCATGTGGAGGAGCTGAGGGAGGTTAAGGAGACCCTAGGGACTCGCTTGTTCTGTCTGGGCTTCCCTCTGCTCCATCGTTTGATGACCATTTTCTGGGAAGAGCTCAGGAACCTCCTGTGCTCTAGTGAGACGGGGCCTCCCCTCACAGGGTATTCTGAGACTGTGAGTGAGAAGCTAACACAGTGCCTTGCAATACTCACGGGAGCTGTCATCCTCTGTGACCATCACGTGGCCTTGTAGTGTTCAGACTGCCTGGCCTGCCTGGGGTTTGGTGAGGCTGTTTTGTGGTCAGCTGCTTTAGAAGCTCACTTTCTCTGCAATCAAACAGTGACTGTTTTCATGTCTGTTTATGGGTTTAAAAAATCCTAATATTTCCTTTATAGTAGTTTCAGCTTGCATGTGTTTATTTGTATAAATTTTAGTGGAATAAAGAGAGCTTAAGACAACAGCATTTTAAGGTCTTAATGAGGCATAGACTTTCATGTCACAACAGCTAATGTTGACCTCTGTTTGCTACCTTTGTGTAAAGTATACACATAAAGTACAGCCAGAGGTGACTAGAGCTGAGCTGCTTGGGCTTGCTTGCTGGCCTGCAGTCAGGTGGACTCTGGCTGCAAGGCGGTGCCCACCCTGGATCTACATCCCCCACTCTCTCTCCTTAGTCTCTGAGTAACCAACAAGGCCGTGCTAATGAGCGGGCGAGTGATGGGCATCGCGTACCCCAATACTATCTGGGAAGATTTGAATGCCAACTGGGCTGGAGCTGTTGGGATTAGGGGCTGTGGCTGCCTTGGCTTGTCATGGTGCCACCCACAGATGTGCCTGCCCTGTGCTGCTTCTCCAGCAACCGGCTGCCCATGGCCCTGAGCCTGTCACACCATGCTTGCTACCTCATGCTACTTGTGTTTGAAAAACCCATCCAGAGATGGCATTGCTGGATGTGAGTGCTGAAAAGGGGGCAGCACCTTTGTCCTGGGGGATTAGGAGCTGACCAGATTCCTCTTGACTCCCTCCCAGAACAAGAGGGGCAGGTGCTGCAATTAATGATGCCCCCCAGAAGATGTGTTTGCACTGGCTGAGGGAATACACGATGCAGAGACCTAAATGAAGACACGTGAATGGGGTGTGTGGGCATCAGTTAGCAACTGGGAAACAGGTGCCTCTCAGGCCTCTCGTGCTCCAGCAAGAGTGGAATATGCCTGTGCCCATGAGTGTAGACATCTGGAGTGTATACATTTGGCTGCTGCTTTTGCTGCCACTATCCCCAGGTCCAACCTGGCTTGAAGTCCAGGTTTTAAGTAAAAAAATAGGAGGCTTTTTGCCATACAGCTACTTGAGAGGCTGAGGTGAAAGCATCACTGGAGGCTAAGAGTTTGAGGCTGCAGTGACCCATGATTCAGCCACTGCACTGTCAGAGTGAGACCTGCGTGCACCCTTCTACAGATAATAGCTCTGGGGCATTTGGGGATCCCTACAGTCCGGGACATCTCCCTGTCCCCTGCTGCCTGTGCTTCTTCCCTTGCCTGCTGTCAGAGCCTAACATGGAGGAGGAGGTTGCTGCCCTGTGAGCCTGAGGGAGCTGTGTCTGACTGGGACTTCTGTCTGGGGTTTTGTGAAGAGCTACTTATGAGTATGGTCTGTACAGATACCTTGTTTCAAAGAAAGTGAGCATGAGCTAGCAAGTGTAGCCACCCCACAGCTGATAAACAACTTTGTCTTGTTTTTAAATCATCAATCTTCATTTCACATTGGAATAAAGTAATTGAAGCCTGCTACCCCAGCCTCGCCCGTGTGTTCTGTAACCCAGACTCATTTCGTTGTGTGGGCTGTTGTCAGAAATGTTATAAAAAAAATTACGCATAAATAATATCAAATGTAAAATTATGCTTATAATGTCACTTGAGTGGGTGGTAAGAGGGTAGAGTCACAGGAAATCTGTTGGGGTTTACACCCCTGATACTTACCAAGCTCATGAGAGTGTGGCAGAGGTGATCATCACCTGACATTTGTGGCAGAAGAGAAAAGTCCAGCCTGAAGGCCAGGTAAGGGAGAGGTGCCAGGTTGTGGGGCCAGGCCCTGCGCATGCTGGGCCTGTTATGTCACTGAACATCTAACTGCCCGGGAACCGGCTCTTTTCACATCATCTGAGGTAAGAGGATGGAGAAGCACTCTCCAGAAGTCACACTGCGCTGGGAGAATAGAGGAGAGCCTACAACTCACCATCCTAAGGTAGGTTTTACATTGAGCTGAACTGTCTTCGAGAGCTAATGAGATGGGAGGAAGACAGTCCCCCAGGTGCACCTGACAGCCAGAGCCTATGAAGTTAGGGGGGTTGTGTGGGGGTGGCCTGTTCCTATGAGAAGAGGAGCTTAAAGCTACTAAAGCTGGTGGCTGCTGCTCTGCCATCCCTCTACAGAGCAGGCAGGTCCTCAGCTGCATGTATAGCTGAATGTCTTTTGGAGTGTTAGAGAGTCCTCTATGTCTTAGAAATTTTGAAAAGAAAAACAAATCTCAATTTTAATGTTGATTAGTTTCTCTGAGCCAGTTGGGAAAAAGATGTCCTTCACCTCAAAGATTTAAGTGACACCGAAGGGTAGCCACCAGTGTCTCGGCCACTGAAGCCTCATGCATGCTCTCACTACCAGTTTGATTTGCAGCCCCATAGTTGTGTTGTACTACATATTCTTTCCTCTGGCCTTGTCCAGTGAACACGGTTCACATGGCTAACACCACTTCTTGAGATGCGAGCACCATGCAAAGCTGAGAACGGATTGGGTTTTGTGACGATTGTGCCTCCTCCTCACCTGAGAGGCCCATTTTTCCTGGTTGATTCATTAAGTGTATTAGTGCTGTCAGTCGCCTCTGGACAATTGAAATGACAAGTGGCTGTTGATTCATAAAGAAAATGAAGGCTTTAGATGTGAAACCCTCGTTTTCTCTTGTCCTTCTCTTAGGTGAAAGATTTTATTTTTTTCAAAAGGCTACATACTGGTATCCCAGCAGGTGTAGTGTGAGAACTGGCATATGTTAGGCTATGGTGTCAGTGTGGATGGGCAATTCTTCAAGATGGAAAACCAAGTCTCACTGAGTTGCTGGAGCCACAGTGACCTTTCTCCACATCCCCCACCATGGGCTTTCACTTTTCTCCTGTGCTTGAATTTTTTTCACATACAAATTCTTTATACACACACACAGACAGACACACACATATCTCACTCTGTCAATGCAGTGGCTGAATCATGGGTCACTGCATCTTCAAATTCTTAGGCTCCAGTGATGCTTTCAAATCAGCCTCTCAAGTAGCTGGGACTACAGGCATGCAAAGCTACACCCAGACAATTTTTAAATATTTTTCTAGAGACTGAGCCTACTTATGTTGCTCAGACTCGTCTTGAACTCCTGGGATCAAGCGATCATCCCACCTTGGCCACCCAAAGTGTTTAGATTACAGGTATGAGCTAGCACTCTCAGCAAAAATATATTTTAAAGAACCGTTACAACCAAATTATGAGTTATCATTATGCCACTGCCCTCCAGCCTGGGCACCAGAGCAAGACCTTGTATCCAAAAACTAAGCAAAACTAAGCAAGAACAAAAAAAAAACCTTATAACTAAATTAAACTTTGAAGATTGTGTCATCTGTGTCCTTCCCTGCCCTCCAAGCTATCAATGTTAAATATAATGGTTATTGAGAAAATGGTTAGATATTATTAAGAAATTTCTATATATCCTCCAGCTGAGAATAGGTATTCTGATGTGGCCCAAATATTTTCTCACCGCTACCTTCAGGGTCTAAACTAGCAAGTCAGGACACCTGCAGAGGACAGTTGACCATTTTCAAATAGAAAGAGAAATACCCCGTTCATGAGAGTAATCCAGTGATTTTCAAAAAGACAAGACACACTGACATCCAGCGCAGTCAGGGCACAATTACCTTGGAAAAATCACCTCACACAGAATGGTTGAGGAGACTTTCTAAGGTGAGCAAATTTGGGAAACATAATCCTTTCTTATTTATTTCCAGCCCCCGCTGCCCCCCTGATTCCTAATGGTCACACAACAGTGTGGTCAGCAGTGGGGTGCAGTGTTGTGAGAGAGGGGCTCAGGGATGGGATGAAGGTCTTTACCGCGTTACAAAAATGCAGGTTAAAAAGTTGCTAAAAAGATGTCTAAATATTCTAATTCGTACTGTTACATAGCTGCTAAGATGCATTATACAACAGACCCAGGTAAGGGAAAGAGCACGTGCATTTCAAGTCTCAGCTCACGTCTGAATTAGCTGTGATACTCTGGGCACGTGACCCCAAATATAGGAGCCTGTTTGCCTGTCAACCCAAAACAATCCTAAGCAAAAACAACAAAGCTTGAGGCATCCTGCTACCCGACTTCAAACTATACTACAAGGCTACAGTAACCAAAACAGCACAGTACTGATACCAAAACAGATATATAGACAAATGGAACAGAACAGAGGCCTCAGAAATAACATCACACATCTACAACCATCTGATCTCCGACAAACCTGACAAAAACAAGCAATGGGGAAAGATTTCCTACTTACCAAATGGTGCTGAAAGAACTGGCTAGCCACATTCAGAAAACAGAAATTGTACCCCTTCCTTACACCTTATGCAAACATTATCTTAAGATGGATTAAAGTCTTAAATGTAAAACACCAAACCATAAAAACCCTAGAAGAAAACCTAGGCAATACCATTCAGGACATAGGCATGAGCAAAGACTTCATGAATAAAATACCAAAAGCAATCACAACAAAAGCTAAAATTGACAAATGAGATCTAACTAAACTAACGAGCTTCTGCACAGCAAAAGAAGCTATCACCAGAGTGACCAGGCAACCTACAGAGTGAAAGAAAATTTTTGCACTCTATCCATGTGTCAGAGGTCTAATATCCAGAATCTACAAAGAACTTAAACAAATTCACACACACACAAAAAAAAACCATCAAAAAGTGGGCACAGAATATAAACAGACTCTTTTCAAAAGAAGATATTTGGCTGGGCGCGGTTGATCAAGTCTGTAATCCCAGCACTTTCAGCCGTGGAGGCAGGTGGATCATGAGGTCAGGTGTTCAAGACCAGCCTGGGCCGCATGGCGACACCGCATTTCTACTAAAAACACAAAAAATTAGTAGGATGTGTTGGCGGGTGACCTGTAATCCCAGCTTCTGGGGAGGCTAAGGCAGGAGAATCACTTGAACCTGGGTGGCAGATGTTGCAGTGAGCCGAGATCCTTCCACTGCACTCCAGCCTGGGTGACAGAGCAAGACTCCATCTTAAAAATAATAATAATAAGTAAAATAAATAGAAAAAGAAGAAGGAGAAGGAGAAGAAGAAGAAGAAGAAGAAGAAGAAGAAGAAAAAAGAAGAAGAAGAAGAAGAAGAAGAAGAAGAAGAAGAAGAAGAAGAAGAAGAAGAAGAAGGGGACCTTTATGTGGTCAACAAACACAAAAAAGAGAAAAGCTCATCATCACTGGAGACTAGAGAAATGCAAATCAAAACCACAATGGGATACCTTCTCACACCATGTTGAATGGCAGTTATTAAAAAGTTAGGAAACAACAGATGCTGGTGAGGCTGTGGAGGAATAGAAACACTTTTACACTGCTGGAGGGAGTGTAAATTAGTTCAACCATTATGGAAGACAGTGTGGTGATTCCTCAAGGATCTAGAACCAGAAATACCATTTGATCCAGCAATCTCATTACTGGGTATATACCCAAAGGAATATAAATCATTCTAGCATAAAGACACATGCACTCATATGTCTATTGCACCACTGTTTGCAATAGCAAAGACTTGGAACCAACCCTAATGTCCATCATTGATAGATTGGAAAAAGAAAATGTGGCACATATACACCATGAAATAATATGCAGCCATAAAAAGAATGAGTTCATGTCCTTTGCAGGGACGTGGATGAAGCTGGGAACCATTAACCTCAGCAAACTAACACGGGAACAGGAAAGCAAACACCATATGTTCTCACTCATATGTGGGAGTTGAAAAATGAGAACACATGGACACCTGGAGCCAAAGATCACACACTAAGGCCTGTTAAGGGGTTGAGGTCAAGGGGAGGGAGAAAATTAGGACAAATACCTAATGCATATGGGGCTTAAAACCTAGATGGCAGGTTGATAGGTGCAGCAAACCACCATGGCACATGTAAAACTATGTAACAAACCTGCACGTTCTGCACATGTATTCCAGAACTTAAAAACAAACTAACAAAAGTGCACTAAGTCTGAGGGGGAGTGGGGGTAAGGGCAGGAGTCAGGCGAGGGTGGGTGCGTCCTGGAGTTTTATCCAGTCATTGACACTGATGTGGGAACCGCCCAATCAGGCGCGCTGTGGCAGAGGAGAGGAAAGGAGGGCGTGGCTTCCTGCATTTGGCGGGATCTGTGTCTCTCGCTGGTGCTGGCACAGGAGCTTGGGATCTGTCTCCTCTTTCGCCTCCTGCACCTTGAGAGCCCTGGGCTACTCTCCCACAGCCCCTGTTGCCCTGTGATCTGTAGGTCCTTGGGGACGCATAGTCAAGGTGCCAGGACATCCTGGAAGCTGGGAAATGGTGAGTATACGGGGTTCGCCATCCCGAGAGGGGAGAACAGACTGTGAAACCGGCAGGACCGGCCTCCCCACGGTTAGCTCCGAGTCTCCCGCAGCTTGGCCCTCAGTCCCCTGTGGCTGCAAGATGGCCGCTGGGCCAGCATCGAGGACCCCCACATCCGGCCTGGCCCATCCGGTGCTGTCCCTGGGCAGCGCCCTGCTCTGCGCCCACAGCCATGAGTATTTCCCAGATTGTTCAGGGAGGCCTGGTGGGTCATCAGGGAAAAACCGCGACTGGGTGTTTGCGTGGGAGGAGCTGCGGCCCGTGGGGTCCCCAGTCTCTCTTGTTAAAAATTAACGGGAGTCTATGTTAAAAGGTTCATCAGTTTATCTGAACAAACAGTGATTGGTGAAATGGAAAGCACCCAGCCATGATTTCTGGTCCACCAGAGGGGCATAAAGGAAAGGCTTTTATAAGATGCATGAGAAAGCAACCCAAATTCAAGAATTGGTTCCAGTTATATGGTAGCCTTATTTGAACTATCCAGATGGAAATGTCCTGGTTACATATTCAGAGGTTAATTGCATGTTTGTCATGGGTTAAACCTGCATTTTGCTTCAGGCTAAGATAGTGTTTTATAGGAAATATATTTGAGTTAGGTTTTAGATTTTTTTTTGTTTGTTTTTTGTTTTTTACCTATGAACACAGGGCACTAGAGCCACTTTAGACTAATTTTCTGATCTTTAATTATTTTAACACTCCAGAGGAGGACTGGTTTTCTCCTGTGTTTTTTTAATGTATGGCAAGTGGAACCTCTAATCGACCACCCTGTTTTTCATCCTAACTCAGGCTTGCAGTAAAATTATCAGTTCCCACTTTCTTTGCTGCATTCTCAAACGCAACACATGAGACCAGCTTTCCCTTGCCAATTTACAATGCTGTTAACTATATGTCCTTTATTATACATTTCATTAAAGTTTTCTATTATTTGGTTTCTTTCTACTTCTCCCTACAGTTCTGGCAATATTTCCTTTTTATATTTAGAAGCCTCCCTTTTGTGTGCATAAATATATAAAGCTATATTCTCTTGAGAAATTAACCTCTATTATTATTCTATGGTAAACTCATTTCATGCTTGTGAGAGACATTGCTAGAAAGTCTATTTTGTCTAATTTAAGCATTACCGTTGCACTCCTTTGGTTATTGTTTGCATGGAATATCATTTTCTATCCTTTCACTTTTAGCCTATGCTCTTAATTCATAATTGAGTCTCTTGTAAGCAGCATATTACGAGGTTTAAACGATTAATTTATCCACTCTGTCTGCTTTAGTCTCTTTTGGCTGCTATAACTGAATATCACACACTGGTAATTAATAAAGAATAGAATTTTATTTGACTTATGATTCTGGAGGCTGGGAAGCCAAAACAACATGATACTGGTATATGTTGAAGGTCTAGTTGCTGGATAATAACATAGACAAAGATGTGAGGGAGAGAGAGCTTTTTTTTTTAATATATAACAGATCCATTCTTGTTATAATTAGCCCATTCCCATAATAAGAACATTAATCCATTCATGAGGGCAGAGTTCTTAGAGCTTAATTAATTTTTAAAGGTTCCACCTCTTAATTCTAACATGTTGGCTATTAAATTTTATCCTAAATTTTGGAGATGACATTCAGTGTACAGCAGTATCTGTTTAGTAGATACTTTAATCTTTTTATTTGTAAGGTAGTGATAGGTAAGGAGTTACTATTGTAAATTTGTAGTTTTCTGTCCATTTTAAGTTTGCTTCTTTTTTTTCTGGTTCTGTCTTTCCTGTGGTATTGTTCATTTTTGTTGAGACAAAGTTATGCTTTCTTGCTCAGACTGAAGTGCAGTGGCATATCACAGCTCACTGTAGCTTCAACCTCCTGGGCTCAAATAATCCTCCCACCTTAGCCACCCAAGTAGCTTGGACTACAGACACGTACCGCAACACCCAAGGAGATTTCATCCTTCCACCTTGGCCTCCCAAAGTGTTGGAATTATAAGCAGGAGACACCATATCCAATGTGTAATTTTTGTTGTTTGTGTATGCTTTAATTACTTTCTCTTTTTCTTTACTGCAGTTTTTTTTTCCTAGTGGTTATCATGAGACTTAGGTAAAACATCTTGTATTTTAATAGTCTAGTTTAAGATGATAACAATTTATAGTATTCTGAAATTCAGTATGTATTTACCATTTTAGTGACATTTATACTTTAGTATTTTTCATATTGTTAGTTAGCATTTCATCATATCAATGTGAAGATTTCTTCCAGACCATGGCTGGAGAAGGAAAGAAGGTGTGTTTTGCCTGACTCAGTGACTATAGAGAGAACCAAGTTCTGCAGGCCTGTCACCTAAGTCTCAGGTGAGTATGAATTCTCTTGTGTTTTTCACAGATTGTTGCAGTGGCAGGACCAAGGTCAAATGAGTTATAGCCAAGTCTACAGTAAGATGTGGCAGTATTCTGTTTTGAAGCCGGGACCATGATTGGCAAGCTTGCCACTTGGTCAAGTGCTCACCCTCTGAAAATGTCTTCCTTGGTCTTTGCCTCCAGCTGGGTGCCACAAACTCTGAACTGGATTCCAAGGCTTTCATGAATGCACTTATGTTTGCTGTGGCAGCTGCATTATGTCGTGGGGGATGTGGATGCAGAACCTCACATTCTGTCGTCTTGCTTATGTTACTCTCCTTTATGTTTCACTTTCTCAAATGAATGTCAAGCAGGTGATTTTCAGATTCAAAAGTTCTAAAATAAATTGCTCAAATTTACACATTATGTAAGCTGTTAATAAAATTTCTTGTAGGTGCTACATATTTGTTACAATTTTTGGTTGTAATTTTAAGCTCACTGTAGGCAGAAAGGAATCATTAAGATTTCTATTCTTTTTTAGTCTGTATCTAAATGACCATATATTTTAATTCCAAATATTTACTTTATACTTCAGTAATGCTCATTGTATTTTGCAAAATTTATATTGTTCTTTTATTTGAAAATATAAGGCTTTTTTTAGCTCCTGAAAGCTATATTATAGTCATATAGTTTTATTATAGTATTTGATAAGAAGAGCAGCAACATATTGAGAACAGATAAAATTCTGCTGTCTTTTTAATGATTATTTATTAAATTCTTCTCATTAGAGCCTATTATTAATGATTGTAATGTATTTACTGTATAATTTTTCTGCAATTTATTAAATGCCAATGACTTCCAATGTCTGCTTTTCATGACTGCACACAGTTTAAAGCTGTAGATATCTAAAGGGTTATTTTTCAGCCCGGCATGGTGGCTCACGCCTGTAATTCCAGCACTTTGGGAGGCCAAGGTGGGTGGATCACGAGGTCAGGAGATCAAGACCATCCTGGCTACCACGGTGAAACCCCGTCTCTACTAAATATAGAAAAAATTAGCCGGGCATAGTGGTGGG
The DNA here is from genome assembly GCF_000001405.40 of Homo sapiens. NCBI lineage: Eukaryota > Metazoa > Chordata > Mammalia > Primates > Hominidae > Homo > Homo sapiens. Next base: position 166,602 of record NW_021160012.1, on the reverse strand, counting down.
TGCCTGTATTCCCAGCTACTCGAGAGGCTGAGGCAGGAGAATGGTGTGAACCCAGTGGGCGGAGCTTGCAGTGAGCTGAGATGGCACCACTGCACTACAGCCTGGGCGACAGGGTGAGACTCTGTCTCAAAAAAAAAAAAAAAGGGCTTATTTTTCATTGTATATTTATGTTGTATTCAGGATTTTTTGCATTTAATCTCTCTTCTTATGTTCAATTCTGTGTTGTTGTGTTTCTTTTCTTGGGGGGTATGTTTTCTCAGATCAGTTAATTGTATTTTTGCTTTTAAAGCTTGATATCATGAGTTGAATGATAATTTTTTAACTCGGTACACTTTATGACAATGTGATATTTAATTTATATGTGAATTAGCCGTGTTTGTTGCTTATACATATATCTATGTGTTTTTCACCTATGTATGTCATTTTTTTCATCTTTTTTCCTTGTTTTTTTTTTTTAAGTTTCAGATACGCTTTCTTTTTCTTTTTTTTGTTTTTTTTTTTTAAAGAGAATTTTAAAACAGAGTCAAATGAACAAAAATCAGTTATTTGTCCTCTTGCAGGGCGGGTAGACCTTCCTTCCCCACGGGTTTGAGGCTATGGCTAAGTGGTGAGCCTTGGGGAGATGCAGGAAGGATCCATCCCAGGCACTTGGCTAGAGGTAAGTAAAAATAGCCTTTGGACCAGAAGACCTGATAGTTTGGGTACTCGTCTGAACATAAGTCCCCATCTTCCCAGAAATGTCGTCTTTTGTCTGCAACAACTGGCTGGAGAAATATTTCAGAAAGATGTGTACCTGGAACACCCAAAGAAGTACCTTTCCTTTCTCTTTGGCATAGGCCTTGTAGCACTGTAGAAAGACCAGGTTTGCAATGGAGCCTTCAATACTCTTCATCCCTATGGATCTCAGGGGCTCATAGGGTGACAGGAGAGGAGACAAGCTAGCTTGGGAAGAGTCTTTGTCCTTCAGCTTCTCCCCTACTGAAACACTATATACTTGGGGCCACAGTTCATCACAAAACACACATGCTCTCTTTCTTTCTCTCACACCCACATCTTGGGAACCCAACAACTTGATGGCAGGTAGCTCTGGGTATCCTTGGTCTGGCATTCACCCACTGGGAATCTAAGCTGTCCTAAAGCTCTTTTCAATCACTTCTCACTCTTTTCAGGCCCATGTGGGTAGGTGTTCCAGCCTTCACTCTTTCAGGCTGATCATAGAGGCACAGTGTGGGAAAATCCCCTACTGTGATGGCCATTGCTGGGAAGCAGGGAAGGTTAAGGGCCCACTGCTGCCCAAGGCTAGTGTAGACACCCTCTGCTCCTCCACTCATCTCCTCAAAGAATGATATCAGGTGCAGCTGCTGCTGTCTGGAATGTTATCAAACCAGGACTGCACAGGCACTGCATTCTCTGTGTGGAAGATGTAAGAAGCAGGCGAGTTGTCCAGGATGAGTTTTCCTCAGGTCCCTCCCCAGATGGCTGATGTCCTTGACATAGCAGCCCTGGTGAAACAAACATGACTCATGGGACAGGCAGCCCCAGACCATCCCATACCCGTCCAGCTCACCCTTCACAGGATCTGCCTACTTGTTCAGGCTGGGAAGAAGAGAGCAATGACGAAATACATTTAAACATTTCCTCCATTCATGTCAGGAACTCATCCATATAAGGCCTCATGAGCACATGGATCTGGTGCATGGTCCCCTCAAGCTCTACAGGCACTAGGCAGTCAGCATTGCTGATTGGCTTAAAGGAGCTATGCACAAGGGTTTCATCCAGGTCAGTGGCCATACAGATCCTTCCTTGATTTTTCTCTGTCACCTCTGGGAGCAGGCAGGTTCCTGGGATCTGATAAAACTGATATTGGAGACGCTGGAGCTGATCCGACATAGCAATGGTGTTGACTCCCTCCTTATGTGTGGATTGCTCAGCGGGGGAACTTAACTGTCCAACATGCTGGGTGCAAGAACAGCAGAAAGGGGACTTTTAAGATGTGGCAAACATGAGGCCTCTTCCGAGAGGACTTTGGAAACCAGGCCTTGCTTGGTAAGGACCAGGGCATCTTCCCTCCATGCCTGGGTGATGATGGAGCCTTGTTCCATCTAACAATCCTGAGGGCTGGGCTGGCTGGGTGGGAAGACTGGCAAGCACGCTGGCTGGACTGGGCTGGGGGGCATCGGCTGGGGCCTGATTCAGTTCCCGAGATTCTGACCTCCACAGCTGTTCACATACCCCTTCTCCTTTCCATACTGGCCGGGAAGGGAGGTGGCTTGTAGGGAGGGTGGTTGGCCTTGGCAGTGGCTCCCCAGTGTGCCCCCATCCCCGATTCCCCCAGCGAGAGCTTCAAGATCCTCAGTTTGGGTCTAACATAGAGAATCCACCAGAAACACATTTTTTTTTTCAAGTTTTATTTTAAGTTCAGGGGTCCATATGTGATAAAGTTTATTTTTCAACTTTTATTTTAAGTTTAGGGGTCCATGTGCAGAGTATGCCGGTCTCTTACATACATAAATGCGTACCACTGTGGTTTACTGCACAGATCATCTCATCACCCAGGTACCAAGCCCAGCATCCGCAGCTATTCTTCCTGATGCTCTCCTTCCCCTCCCCCATGCCATGAAACAGGTGTCCAGTGTGTGTTGTTCTTCCTGATGTGTCCATATGTTCTCATTGATCTGCTTCTGCTAATAAGTTAGAATAATAATAGGTGGTGTTTGGTTTTCTGTTCCTGCATTAGTTTGCTGGGAGTAATGGCTTCAAATTCCAACCATGTCCCTGCAAAGGACATCATCTCATTACATTTTATGGCTTCATAGTGTTCCATGGTGTATGTGTACCACATTTCCTTTATCCAGTGTATCATTGATGGGCATGTAGATTGATTACATGATGTTGCTATTGTAAATAGTGCTGCAATGAACATTTGTATACATGTATTTTTAAAATAGAATTATTTATTTTCCTTTGGGTGTAATGGTATTGCTGGGTCAAATGGTAGTTCTGCTTCTAGGTCTTTGAGGAATCTCCACACTCTCTTCCTCAATGCTTGAAATAATTTACACTCCCACCAACAGTGTAAAAGTGTTCCCTTTTCTCCACAACCTCGCCAGCACCTGTTTTTTTTTTTTTTACTTTTTATTAATAGCCATTATAATTTGTGTGAGATGGTATCTCATTATGGTTTTGATTTGTATTTATCCAGTTATCAGTGATGTTGAGCTTTTCATGTTTGTTGGGCACATGTATGTCCTCTTTTGAGATACGTCTGTTCATGTTCTTTGACCCTTTTTTAATGGGGCCTTTTTTTTTCTCTTGTAAATTTTGTTAAATTCCTCCTAGATTCTGGATATTAGACATTTGTGAGATGGATAGGTTGCATAATTTTTCTCCCATTCTCTAGGTTGTCTGCTCTGATGATAGTTTCTTTGGCTCCGCAGAAGCTCTTTAGTTTAATTAGACCCTATTAGTCAATTTTTGCTTTTGTTGCTATAGCTTTTTGCCTTTCTGTCATAAAGTCTTTTCTCATGCCTATATCCTGAATGGTATTATCTAGATTTTTTCTTCTAAGGGTTTTATAGTTTTGGGTTATACATTTAAGTCTTTCATCCATCTTGAGTTAATTTTTGTACATGGTGTTAAGAAGGGTTCCAGTTTAAATTCTCTGCATATGGCTAGCCAGTTCTCCTAGCACCATTTTTTGAATAGGGAGACCTTTCCCTAATTCTTTGTTTTTGTTAACTTTGTCAAAGATCAGGTTGTTGTAGGTTTTTGGCTTTATTTCTAGGTTCTCTACTTTGTTTCATTTGTCTATGTGTCTGTTTCTATACCAGTACCATGCTGTTTTTGTTACTGTACTCTTCTAGTATAGTTTGAAGTTAGGTAGAGTGACGCTTCCAGCTTTTTTTTTTTTTTCTTAAGGTTGGCTTGGCTATTTGGGCTCTTTTTTGGTTCCATATGAACTTTAAAAGTTTTTATTTTTCTAATTCTCTGAAGAATGTCAGTAGTTCAATGGGAATAGCATTGAATCTATGAATTACTTAGGGCAATATGCCCATATTCATGATACTGATTCTTCCTCTCCATGAGCATGGAATATTTCTCCATCTGTTTTGTGTCCACTCTGATTTCTCTGAGCAGTTGTTTGTGGTTCTCCTTGAAGAGGTCCTTCACTTTCTTTCTTAGCTGTATTCCTAGGTATTTTTTTCTCTTTGTAGCAAATGTGAATGAAAGTTCATTCATGATTTGTCTCCCTGCTTGCCTGTTGTTTGTGTATGGGAATGCTAGCTACTTTTGCACATTGATTTTATATCCTGAGATTTTGCTACTGTTGCTTATCACCTTAAGAAGCTTTGGGCCTGAGACAATGAGGTTTTCTAGATGTAGGATCAGGTCATCTGCAAACAAAGATAATTTGACTTCCTCTCTTTCTATTAGAATACTCTTTATTTCTTCCTCTGGCCTGATTTTCCTGGCCAAGGCTTCTGATACTATATTGAATGGTAGTGGTGAGAGAGGGCATTCTTTTCTTGTGCCAGTTTTCAGGTGGAACGTTTCCAGCTTTTGCACATTCAGTATGATATTGGCTGTGGGTTTGTTGTATATGGCTCTTATTATTTTCAGGTAAGTTTCTTCACTTCCTAGGTTATTGAGAATTTTAAACCTGAAGGAATGCTGAATTTTATTGGATGCTTTTTCTGCATTTATTGAGATAATCATGTGGCTTTTTATTTAGTTCTCTTTATGTGATGAGTCACATTTATTGATTTGCATATGTTGAATCAACCTTGCATCCTGGGGACAAAGCCAACTCCATTGTTGCGGATGAACTTTTTAATGTGCTGCTGGATTTGGTTTGCCAGTATTTTATTGAGGATTTTTGCACAGTGTTTACCAAAGACATTGGCATGATGTGTTGTTGTTGTTGCTGTTGTTGTAGTATCTATGTTAGGTTTTGGTATCTGGATGATGCTGGCCTGATAGAATGAGTTAGAGAGAACTTCTTTGTCTTCAATTTTTTTTGGATGGTTTTAAGAGAAAAGGTACCATCTCCTCTTTGTACCTCTGGTCAAATTCAGCTTGCTTGGTAGGCTAGTTATTACTGCCTCAATTTCAGAACACATTATTGATCTATTCAGGGTTCAATCTTGTGTAGGGTTTATTTTGCAAGGAAATTGTCTATTTCTTCTAGATTTTCTGGTTTATGTGCATACAGATGTTTATAGTGTTCTCTGATGGTTGTTCTTATTTCCATGGGATCAGTGATGATATCTCCCTTATTATTTCTAATTGTGTTTGGTTCTCCTTTCTTTTCTTATTTATTTGCCTAGCTAGTGTTCCATTTAGTTTATTAATTTTTTTCATAAAACAGCTCCTGGATTTTTGACTTTTTTTTTTGGAAGAGTTTTCAGTGTCTCTATCTCCTTCAGCTCTACTTTGATCTTGGTTATTTCTTGTTTTTTGCTACCTTTCTGGTTAGTTTTCACTTGGTTTTCTAGTTCTTTTAATCAAGATGTTAGGCTGTTAACTTTAGATCTTTCTAGTTTCTCTTTTTTTTCTTGTGGCAGAGTCTCACTGTGTCACCCAGGCTGGAGTACAGTGGCATGATCTCTGCTCACTGCAACCTCCACTTCTCAGTTTTAAGTGATTTCTTCTGTCTCAGCTTCCTGAGTAGCTGGGATTACAGATGTGCATCACAAAAACCAGCTAATTTTTGAATTTTTTTTTGTAGAGGTGGGGTTTTGCTGTGTGTTCCAGGCTGGTCTTGAACATCTGGCCTTAAGTGATTTGCCTACCCCAGCCTCCCAAAGTGCTGGAATTACAGGCATGAGCCACCACGCCCAGCCCTTTCTAGCTTTTTGATGTGGACATTAGTGCTATAAATTTCCCTCTTTTCTTGGTTTCCTGTGATTACTTTATTCTATCTTGGTGAGTCATCAGGGAAATAATCTTAAATTTACAATCAACATATAGTTTAAATCCATATAATTGTGTGAGAATAACCCTTTGTTATTTGAAGGTGATGTTTGAAAGGTTTTCTAACTGTGCCTTTTAGTTAGTCTTAAATTTCTAATTGTAGTTAAAAACATGCCATTGTCATTTCTGAAATTTTAAGTATATGGTTTAGAAGTGGTTAGTATAGTTCTATTGTTTTGCAGTAGCTTTTAGATAATTTTTGTCTTACAAAAGTAAAAGTGAATACTCATTACTTGTGAAAGAAGTTAGTTAGCTTGCCTTAGGTAGATAGCAAGAGAAGAGTCCCTGGAAAGTCCCTGGTCAGTGCCTCATCCCTGCATAACATATAAAGAAGCCTGGAAAAAATCAAGCTGCAGACACTAACAAGGGAACTAACATATGTTGTTGTGCTTGGAGACATGCCCGTGGCTGCAGAGATAGAAAAACCTCTGGCCCATTTGGATAAAAACTTGTACAAACCTCCAGCTCACTCAGATAAAGGAACAAGAACGACCTAGCACAGAAATGCCTTTGTTTGGCCAGCCACGGTGGATCATGCCTGTAATTCCAACAATGTCGGAGGCAGCTGTGGGCGGATCATCTGAGGTCGGGAGTTTGAGACCAGCATGACCAAGATGGACAAACCCTGTCTTTACTAAAAATACAAAACTAGCCAGGCATGGTGCTGCATGCCTATAATCCCAGCTACTTGGGAGGCTGAGGCAGGAGAATCGCTAGAACCCAGGAGGTGGAGGTTGCTGTGAGCCGAGATCGCACCATTGCACTCCAGGCTGGGCAACAAGAGCAAAACTGCAAAAAAAAAAAAAAAAATAAAAAAAGAAAGTACATCTCAAAAAAAAGAAAGAAAGACAAGAAAAAGAAAAAAAAAAGAAACACCTTTGTCTTTGTACAGTCAGTGGGCTCCCAGGAAAATGTTCCTTCTCTTTTTGTTGGCATGGGCACTGTGGGATCTGGTGCATTCCGGTCGACACTCTCGTTTATTTGGACTGTAAGTCTGACCTCTATGAATAATTACTTCAGCCCCTGATTGCTCCCGTGCCAAGCTCCTTGGCCAAACTTTCACCTTAGCTTCTGGTAAGTCTTGGGCCAAGCTAAGCAGCATCTATCAATCATCCCTTCAGCTCCTGATTGGTCCTGGGCCAAAGGCCTGGGCCAAGCTGAGCCACACGTTTTTCAAGACAGCCTGTGAACTAGGCACATTTCCTTCCCTTCCCAGTCCTTAAAAACCCTGGACCCAGCCTCGTAGAGGGCACCACTTTCAGACACCTATCTCTGCTGGCAAAGAGCTTTCTTCTCTTGCTTCTTAAACTTTCACTCCAACCTCACCTTTGTGTTTACACTCCTTAATCTCCTTAGAGGTAGAACAAAGAACTCTGGATGTTATCTCAGACTACGAGAGACTGTTACATCTTGGTGCACTGCTGAGACTATGACACTTGGTTTCTTTGAGTTTGACTAAATATTTTACATGAGTGTAATTATACAGCTTTCCTTTTTGACTGTCTTATTTTACTTAACAGAATGTTTTGAATATTTGTCCTTATTGTAGTACTTTTCAAGATTTCCTTATTTTTAAGGCTGAATGCTATCCCAGTGATTGTACGTGCCCTGTTTGCTGAATCTACTCATCCTTAAGGGTACATTTGCTTCCAGGTAACATGTTTGTGAGTAATACTACAATGTGCATATATCTATTCCATGTTCTGCTTTGTCTGTTTGGGATATTTTTCATACACTGATTCAGTACCATGTGTATTCCCTTGCTTTTGTTGTCTCATCCGTTGATGTTACGTCCCCCAAATTATTGCCACGACCAGTTGTCATGAAGCTTCACCCTTCTGTATTGTGCTAGGAATTTTACAGCTATAGGTTTTACATTATAGTCTTCATTCATTTTTTAAAATTGACACATGTAATTGTGCATATTTTGGGGAAACAATTATATATATATGTTGTATAACAATAAAAATCAGAGTACTTCTATACTTGTTGCCTCATGCATTTGTTATTTTTGTGGTGAGAATATTCAAAAGCTTCTTCTCTAGCTATTTTATTTTATCTTTACGTATTAAATTTTTTTAGAGACAGGATCTTGCTCTAACACCCAGACTGGTGTGCAGTGGTGCAATCTTAGCTCACTGTAACTTCAAACAGTCTTCTAACCTTAGTTTCCCAATTAGCTGAGACTACAGGAAGCTGCCACCATGCCTGGCTAATGTTTTAATTTTTCATACAGACGGGGTCACACTATGTTGTCCAGGCTCATCTTGAACTTCTGACGTCAAGTGATTCTCCTACCTCAATCTCCCAAAATGTATGGATTGCAAGAATATGCCACCACAACTGGTCTCTTTTAGCTATTTTGTAATATGAGATAACTTTTCATTAATTATTATTATTCTACTGTGTAATAAAAAACAAAAACTTATTTCCCCTATCTAATCATAACACAATACCTGTGAAGCAGCCTTTTCCCATCCTCCTGCTTCAGTCTCTGGTAACCCCTGTTGTACTCTTTGCTTCTATCAACCCTTTTTTTCAGGTTCCTCAAATGAGTGAGATAATAAGATCATAAAGTATTTGTGTTTCTCTATGTGGGTTATTTTACTTAACATGGTATGCTCAAGGTTCATCCATGCTCTTTTAACTGACAGAATTTTATCCTTTCTTATGGCTGAATAGTATTTCGCTGTGTATATATAGTACATTTTCCTTATCCATTTATCTGTTGCTGTACATTTGAATTGATTCCATATATAAGCTATTATAAATAGTTCTGTAATGAACATGGGAATGCAAATATCTTTTTGACACAGTAATATCCTTTCTTTTGGATATACACCCAGAAGTAAAATTGCTGGATCATATAATAGATATATTTTTAATTTCTTTCAGAAACCTCCATACTATTTTCTATAATGGCCATACTAATTTACAATTCCACCAACAAGGTATACATCCACTCTTTTTTATATCCTCATTAGTTCTTGATTTATTTATTTATTTATTTTTATTATAGCCATTCCAATGGGAATGAGGTGGTACTTCATTACGGTTTGGATGTGCATTTCCTTGGTGATTAGTAATGTAGAGCATCTTTTTGTGTTCCAGTTAGCCATTTTTTGTATCTCTTTTTGACAAACATCTATTAAGATCTTTTGCATTTTTTAAATTAGATTATAAGTGTATTTTATTTTGAGATTTTAAAGTTTCTTATATATTCTGAATATTAGCCTTTTGTCACATGTATATGAAAACATTTTCTGTCATCGCCTAAGCTGTCTCTTCAAACTTTTAGTTGCTTTTTTAATATGAAAAAGCATTTTAGTTTGACATAATGTTGTTTGTTTATTCTCGATTTTGCTGCCCGTGTTTTGAAATCTTATTTTAATAATCCTTTCACCGTCCAATGTTATAAAGCATTTTTTAATGTTTTTCTCTAATAGTTTCATAATTGATGGCATTACATTTAAGTCTTTAGTTTTAGTTGATTATCATATATGGCAAGGTACAAGGGTCTAGTATTATTTTTCCGCATATAAATATTTAAATGGCCCTGCACCATTTATTAAAGAGATTAGCTTTTCTCTAAAGTGCGTTCTTGGTAATTTTGTTGACAATCAGTTGGCTTTAGGTGCATAAATTAACTTCTGGGCTTATTGGGCACATTAGTCTATGTGTTTGTTTTTATGCCAGTACAGTGCTGTTTTGGTTACTGTAGCTTTATAGCAAGTTTTGAAGTTTGATGAAGTGATGCCTTTAGCTTTGCTTATTTTGCTCAAAGTTGCTTTGTCTATTCAGAGTTTTTTGTGGATCCATATAAATTTAAATTTTTTTATTTCTGTGAAAAAATGTCATTGGTATTTTGATAAAAATCACATTAAGTCTGTAGATCACTTTGGGTAGCTATATCAACAGTATTCTTCCAGTGTATAAACAAAATATTTTTTATTTATTCATTTGTATTTTATATTTTTTATCCATGTTTTGTCGTTTTCAGAGTAGAGATCTTTTACCTTTTTAGTTAAGTTTGTTGCTAGGTATATTAGTTGGGCTTCCCTAGAGAGATCATGAGATCCCACAATAGGTTGTCTGCAAGTTTGAGGAGCAAGGAGAGGCGGTCCATGTCCCAAAGCTGAAGAACTTGGAGTCTGATGTTTGAGGGCTGCAAGTGTCCAGCACAGGAGAAAGATGTAGTCTGGGAGCTTAGGCCAGTCTCTGTTTTTCACGTTTTTCTGCCTGCTTTATATTCACTGTCAGCTCATTAGATGGTGCTCACCCAATTAAGAGTGGATCTCCCTTTCCCAGCCCACTGACTCAAATGTTAATCTCCTTTGGCAACACCCTCACAGACACACCCAGGATCAATGCTTTCTATCCTCCAATCCAATCAATTTGACTGCCAGTATTAACCATCACATTAAGTATTTTAATTTTTGTAGCTTTTGCATATGCAGAAGAAGAATTGGATGAAATTCAGCCTTGATTATGATGAAAACTCTCAACAAGTTAGGAATAGAAGGTATGTGCCTTAACTCAATAAAGGCCATTTATGAAAAAGCAATGCTAACATTATACTGAATAAGGAAAAGTTGAAAGCTTTCTCTCTGAGATCTGGAACAAGACAAATCGTCCAAACTTTCAGCCCTCTTATTCAACATAGTACTGGAAGTCCTAGCCAAGGAAATTAGGCAAGAGGAAGAAATAAAAGTCATACTAATTGGAAAGGATGAAGTCAAATGGTCTCTGATTGTGGACAAAATAATCTTATATGTGAAAAACTCTAAACACTACACCAAAAACTATTAGAACTACTAAACAAATTCTGTAACATTGCAGAAAATTAACACAGTAGTAGCTTTCTGTATGATGATAGTGAACTATCTGAAAAATAAAATTTTAAATTCCATTTTAATAGCTACCAAAAATTAGTTATTTTGAGTTTATTTCTTTATTTGTGGTGGAGTCTTTCTCTGTCACCAGGCTGGAGCACAGTGACATGATCTCAGCTCACTGAAACTCTTGCCTCCTGGATTCCAGAGATTCTCCTGCATCAGCCGCCTGAGTGTCTGGAACAGCAGGCGTGTGCCACCACCGCCAACTAATTTTTGTTTGTATTTTTGTAGAGATGTTGTTTCCCCATGTTGGCCAGGATGGTCTTGATATCCTGACCTTGTGATTCACTTGTCTCAGTCACCCAAAGTGCTGGGATTACAGGTGTGAGCCACCACACCCAGCCTTGAGTTTATGTTTTTATCTGTTGCAAGTTAAGGTCTAACTTTGTTATTTTTTCCTTGTAAATTTTTATTATTCCCAATACTGTTTGTTGAAGAGACTGTTCTTTCCTTTTTGTGATTCTTGGAACACATTTTAAAAATATGTTTACTATACCCATGAGGACTTATGTCTGGACTCTCTCATCTGTTTCATCATTCATTTGTCTTTATGTCAGTACCAAACTGTTTTGATTACTATATGTTCGTAGTATGTTTAGAAAATAGAAAGTATGATGCCTCTGTCTTTATATTTTTTTCCCAATATTGTTTGGCTGTTTGTGATCACTTGAAATTCCATAAAAATTGTAGAATATTTTAAAACTTCTGCAAAAAGTTTCATTGTTATTTTGATAGAAAGTATATTGAATCAGCTGAGGGTTGTGGCTCATGCCTGTAATCCCAGCACTTTGGGAGGCTGAGGAAGGTGGATCACCTGAGGTCAGGAGTTCCAGACCAGCCATGGAGAAACCCCATCTCTACTAAAAATACAAAATTAGCCAGGTGTGGTGGCACATGCCTGTATTCCCAGCTACTCAGGAGGCTGAGGCAGGAGAACAGCTTGAACCCAGGAGGTGGAGGCTGCAGTGAACTGAGATCACAACATTGCACTCCACCTTGGGCAACAAGAGCAAAACTCCGTCTCAAAATAAAAAGAAAGAAAAGAAAAGAAAGAACATTGAATCCGTAGACCACTTTTGGTAGTAGTGACATTTTAACAATATTAAGTCTATAACCTCTTGAACAAGAGTGTGTTTGAGAATTTGTTGTTTAATTTTTATTTATTCTTTGACATGCTAGTGTTTTTAACTTCTTGTTTTATTGTATCATAGTTAGGAATAATTTGTGTAATTCCATCTGCTGAAATTTGCTAAGATGTGTTTTTTAACTTAACAGGTGGTCTATCTGGAATATTGTGGCATGTGTGATTAAAAGTATTGCATATTCTACTGTTGAGTGGAGAGATATAAATGTGACTGTTAGGTCTAATTGTTCTATTGTGTTGTTGAAATCCTCTGTTTACTTATTCATCTTATGTTTGTTTTTTTAATTTACATTACTAAAAGTCTGATAAAAAAGTCATCTACTGTTATGTGCTGGCTACTTCATGTTTCAATTCTGTAAAATGCTGCTTCATATTTTGGGAACTGTGATGTAAGGCACATACATTACTGTTGCTTTTATTGTTGCATGTTGTTTTATTGTTGTTGCTTTTATTGATGTATGTTGTTTTTTGTTGCTTTTATTGTTGTTGTTTTTATTGTCCTTTTCTTCTTCTCTCTTGAGGAAGTTTTTGATATAATATATATTTTGTCTACCATGACAGTATTTGATTTTGCATTTAATTTTTTTTATTCTTTCATGTATGGCTTATGCGTGTTCCAGATCATAATGTGGTCATTTGTAGGAAGCAGAGAGTTGAATCTTGTTTCATGAATTTATTTAGTGAAAGTATGTTTTTGATTGACATAATTTATATATATAAAAAATCATTACTAAAAGGGAATGATTTCCTATGACTTTCTATTGAATTTTGTTTCTTTTTTGTTTTAGGTCCTGTAGCTTTTTCTTTTGAGACGGAGTTTTGCTCTGTTGCCCAGGCTGGAGTGCAGTGGTGCAATCTTGGCTCCCTGCAAGCTCCGCCTCCCGGATTCACGCCATTCTTCTGCCTCAGATTCCCCAGCAGCTGGGAATTCAGGCACCCGCCACCATGCCCGGCTATTTTTATTTTTATTTGTTTTTTTTTTTAGTAGAGACAGGGTTTCACTGTGTTAGCCAGGATGGTCTCAATCTCCTGACCTCGTTGATCCACCCACCTCGGCCTCCCAAATTGCTAGGATTACAGGCGTGAGCCACCGCTCCTGGCCGGTCCTGTAGCTATTATTTCCTGTTTTTCTCTCTTGTTCTCTTTCTTAGCGTATTATTGATTTTTGTAGTGACATGTTTTACTTCTTTTCTCACTACTCTCTCTGTGTGTATGTCTTTGTGTGTGTGTACTATAGGTATTTCCTTTTTTTTTTTTTTTTTGACAGGGTCTTGCTCTGTCGCCCAGGCTGGAGGGCAGTGGCACAATCTCTGCTTATTGCAAGCTCTGCCTCTCAGGCTCAACTCAAACAATCCTCCCACCACAGCCTTCTGAGTACCTGGGACCACAGATGTGCACCAGTACTCCTGGCTAATTTTTGTTATTTTTCATAGAGACAGGGTTTTGCCATGTTGACCAGACTAGTCTCAAAATCCTAAGTACTATAGGTATTTTCTTTGTTGTTACTATAGATATTACCAAAAATAACTACTATAGCATATAAAACCCTGCCTCTTTATGGCTGCCTATGTGTTTTATTGATGTCGCGAATTACATCATTTTGTATTGTGAATCTATTGGCACAGTTATATAGTCATTTTTAAGTCTTTGTTATCTCAACTACATAGCAGAATTAAAAGTATTCTGTGCATCTTCATTATAATAACAAAGAATATTATAATTGTGTACATAATTATCTGTTAGAAAACTTTATATTTTACATAATTCTATGTTGCTCTCATCATTATTTTATTTTTTAATGTCAATGACTAGCATTTTTTTATACAGGCCTACTGTGTATAAATTAATACAGTTTTCGTTGATCTTGAATATTCTTTATTTTTATTTTTTAATTCATTTGAAATGATAGCTTTGGCAGACATAGTGTTCTTGGTTGGTACTTGCCATTTTTTTCAGCACTTTGAGTATGTCATCCTACAACCTCTTGCCTGCATGCTATTGGCTGAGACATCTGCTGGTCATCCTATAGGGGTAACATTGTACATGCTAAGTCATTTTTTCTTGCTGACTTCAAGATTCTCGGTGTTTTAACTTTTGAATCTCTGATTAAAATGTGTCTTGTCATGGGTCTCCCTGTGTTGCTACTAGTTGGTAAAGTTTCATTAAATTTTAGGCCATTTTCTCCCTCAAATTTTGAGAGTTCTCAGCCACTGTTTGTTTCTTGAAATAACTTTGCTGCTCTCTTTTCTCTCTTTTTATTTTAGAATTCCCATTAGAAGTATATTGGCCATCTTAATGGTATCCCATAAGTCCCTTAGGCTTTCTTAATTTTTAAAATTATTTTTACCCTCCTCACCATATAATTTCAAAAGACTTCTTATGAAGCTTGCTGGATTTTTTCCTGCTAGATCAAACCAGTTGTTGGACCTTCTAGTGAATCTCTAAATTCAGGTATTTTATTTTTCAGCTCCACACTTTATGTTTCTATTTTGTACTTTTAATCACTTCGTTGATAATCTCATTATCTTCATGAATTGTTTTCTTTTTCTGTTTAGCTTTCTATGTTCTTCTTTAGCTGAATGAGCATCTTTAAGCTAGGTGTTTTAGCCAGGCACAATGATATGTGTGTCTAATTCCAGCTACTTTGAAAGCTAAGGCAAGGGGATTACTGTATTAATAAATTCTCATGCAGCTAATAAAGACATAACCAAGACTGGATAATTCATAATGAAAAAGGTTAATGGCCTCACAGTTTCACATGGCTGGGGAGGTCTCACAATTATTGGAGCAAGCAAGAGACTTTGTTCAGAGGAATCTCCACTTATAAAACCATCAGATCACATGAGACTTTTTTGCTATCATGAGAACAGCACGGGAAAATCCCACCCCCATGATTCAATTACCTCCCACATGGTCCCTCCCAGGACATATGGGGATTATTACAATTCAAGATGAGATTTGGTTGGGGACAGAGAGCCAAACCATATCAATTACTTAAGGCTAGGAGTTTGAGACCACCCTGGGCAATATTGTGAGAAGCTATATGTAAAAAATATTTTTACAGATTAATCATGAATGGTGGAATGTTCCTGTAGTCTCAGGAAGTCGGAGGCTGATGTAAGATTATTCCTTGAGTTCCCAGGAATTTGAGGCTGCATTGAGTTATAACCATGATATTGTATTCCTGTCTGGGTGAGAGAGTAAGACCGCCTTTTAGAATTTCAAATTTGTTTTAGATTTAGGAGGTACCTACACAGGTTTTTTACATGGGTATTTTGTATAGTGCTGAGGTTTGAAATGTAAGTAATTCCATCACTTATGCAGTGAGCATAGTACTAAATAGACAGTTTTTCAGTTCTTGATCCCTCCCTCTCTCCACCCTCTAAGAGTTGTCTTTTATTTTTATTTTTATGTCCATGTGTACCCAGTGTTAATTTCCATTTATAAGTGAGAACATCAGTATTTTTGTTTTCCATTTCTGCATTAATTTGATTGTAGAATGACCTTTAGTTGTATTAATGTTGCTGCAAAGGACAAGTTTTTTTTTTGTTGTTGTTGTTTTTGCTAAGTAGTATTGCTGTACATGTGACACTTTTTAAATTCAATTTAGCATTAATAGGCTGGACACGGTGGCTGATGCCTGTAATCCCAGCACTGTGGGAGGCCAAGGTGAGTGGATCATGAGGTCAGGAGATCGAGACCATCCTGGACAGCATAATGAAACCCCCGTCTCTACTGAAAATACAAAAGTTAGCCGGACGTGTTGTCATGAGCCTGTAGTCCCAGCTACTCGGGTGGCTGAGGCAGGAGAATTGCTTGAACCTGGGAGGTGGAGGTTGTAGTGAGCTGAGATAGTGCCACTGCACTCCAGCCTGGGCAACAGAGTGAGACTTCATCTAAAAAAAAAAAAAATACCATTAATAGTCACGTAGGTTGATTCATGTCTTTCCTGTTATAAATAATGCAGTGATGAACCAACAAGTGCATGTGCTATTTTGGTAGAATAGTTTATTCTCTTCTGGGTATACACCCAGCGGTGAAATTGCTGCGTTGAATCATAGTTCAACTCTCAGTTATTTGGAAAATCTCCAAGCTGCTCTCCACAGTGGCTGAACTAATTTATATTCCTATAAACAGTGTATAAGTGGTTTTTTCCCTCTAAAACCCCACCAATATCTACTATCATTTTACTTTTTAACAAAAGCCATTCTAACTGGTGTACGATGGTGTCTTACTGTGGTTTTTATTTACATTTCCTTGATGGTTAGTGATAAGCTTTTTTCATGTTGTTTGGCCACTTGTATGTATTCTTTTGAACATTGTCTGTTATTGCCCACTTTTTCATGGGGTAATTTTTTGCTTGTGAATTCTTTAAGTTTCTTATAGATTCTGAGTATTAGATTTTGTCAGGTTTATAGGTTGTGAATATTTTTGCCATTCTGCCAGCTTTGGGGTTAGTTTGTTTTTGTTTTTCTAGTTTCTCTAAGTGTGATGTTAAATTGTTAGTTTGAGATCATTCTAACTTCTTGATGCAGGTATTTAGCACTCTCAACTTTCCTCTTAACAGAGCTTTTCCTACAACCCAGACATTTTAGTATATTGTGTCTCTTCATTTATTTCAAATTTTTTTTAAGTTTCTGCCTCAATTTTGTTGTTTACCCAAAATTCATTCAGGAGCAAGTTGTTTAATTTCAATGCCATTCTGTGATTTTGTGAGATTTTCTTGGTATTGATATTTATCTTTTTTCCATTGTGGCCTGACAGTATGGTTGGCATAATTTTCATTTTTAAAAAATGTATGGATAATTGCTTTATGGCTAGGAAGTGGTCAATCCTAGAGTATATTCTGTGAGCGATGAGAAGAATTTATGTTCCTTAGATGATGTGTGGTGTATACTATAAATGTCTATTAGTTTCAATTGATCAAGTGCGAAATCAAACTCCAGAATTTCTTTGTTAAGTTTCTGCCTAGATAATCTGACAAACACTGTTATTGGGGAGTTGCGTTTCCCTACTATTATTGCGTGGCTACTTGAGTCTTATTGTAGGTCTAGCAGTACTTGTTGTATAACTCTATGTTCCCCAAAGTTGGGTGCATCTACATTTAGGATAGTTAAGTCTTCTTGTTGAATTGAACCCTCTATCGTTATGCAATGCCTTTCTTTGTTTTATTTTACTATTAATGATTTAAAGTCCTTTTTTCTTAAAAGAGAAACAATTCCAGGTATGGTGGCTCATGCCAGCACTTTCAGACTGAGGCAGTAGGATTGCCTGAGACCAGGAGTTTGAGACCAGCCGAGGCAACATAACAACATTCTGTTTGTACAGATTCTTTTAAAGAAACTATACAGGTGTGGTAGTGTGCCCAACTGTGGTCATATTTACTCAGGAGACATAGGAGGCATGACTGCTTTACTTCAGAAATTTGAGGTTACAGTGAGCTGTGATTGCACCACTGCAATCTGTCCCAGGAGATAGAGTAAGATCCTGTGTATAAAATGAAAAAATAAAGAAAAATAAAATGATTTTAAGTTAAAAAATAATTCATAGATCTCCGCTTCTTTAGGGTCACTTGAATATATATTTTTCTCGTTTCATTAGGCTATATTTCCTGGTTGCTTTTATGTACTGTGGTTTTGTTAAGGTTTTGGTCAATTAAGAAACCACTACCTATTTTATCCTTTATGAAAAAGCTTGTACATGGGAAAATTGACAATATTCAGCCACACTAGTCATTCCGGGAGCTTCTCCAATCTGTTGTCAAAATGTGTCTTCTTTGGACTACTGTATGTATTTTCTTGTTAATAAGGTTTACCTCTCTTTCCTCTTAGGAGCCTTTAGTCTCTTCTCTTTGTCACTGTTGCAGGCACTACAGTCTCTTTGTTGTAAGAAACATTTATCTTTATTCTCAGTCGACCCAAGCTGTCATTTAAACTCTATCTCTATTCTGGTCAACACTAAATGTTAAAGGTATAAATCAATAAGTCAGAAGTTTGCATACACGTTTCACTCTGTTTTCTTTCCCGAGGGAGAATCATGGAATGGACAGAATTTTATCTAACTGCACTGTTCTGTAGTGCACAAATGTAACCAAATTTTCTTTCTTCTAAATGTGGTTATGGTTGGCTTTTTTCTCATGAGGGGTGCTACAAACTCAACTGGCTTTGCTCACCCAATTGCAGTTAAGTTCATACATCCATTGAGAGAAACAGGATCTCAGGTTCTTCTTCAACTATCATTGTGTTCTCAGCTGGCCTCATTTTGTTCATTAGATTTATAAAATATATTTACCTTAATTTCATCACCGAATTTTTTAAAAAATTATTATTTTCCAGCTCTTTTAGCATTATATCCAACAAGAACCAGAGAAAACAGTACATAGGAGCTTCTTTTCAAAAAGTAATATTGGGAAGATATGGGAGCTCTGGCCTTGAAAATTTACACTTAAGGAGAGTGGGAAGTTGAAGGATAAGTGTAAAGGGTACAAAGGATGCTATGATGAATATACCAGATATAGAGCAACTACCTACAGCAAAAATGTCACTGCTAGAAGAGCTCAAAACCATAAAGTATTTTGGAAAAAGCATAATTAATGTTGATTCTTTTTTCTGAACTATATATTTGTATAATTACATATCAATAACAATTTTTGAAACATCATGTTTTTGAAACAAAATTTAGAAAATCGCAATAGTGGCCTAGGCCAGGAATATATCTTCTAATGCTATCCCTCCCATAGTCCCCCACTTCCTGACAGGCTCCAGTGTGTGGTGTTCCCCTTCCTGTGTCCCTGTGTTCTCTTTGTTTAACTCCCAACTATGAGAGAGAACATGTGATGTTTGCTTTTCTACTCTTGTGTTAGTTTGCTGAGAATGCTGGTTTCCAGCTTCATCCATGTCCCTGCAAAGGACATGAACTCATCCTTTTTATGACTGCATTGTATTCCATGATGTATACATGCCACATTTTCTTTATTCATTCTACCACTGATGGGCATTTGGTTTGGTTCAAAGTTTTTGCTCTTGTGCACAGTGCCATAATAAACATATGTTTGCATGTGTCTAAGTAGTAGAATAATTTATAATCATTTGGTTATATACCCAGTAATGGGATTGCTGGATCAAATGGTATTTCTCATTGTAGATCCTTGAGGAATTGCCATACTGTCTTCCACAATGGTTGAACTAATTTACACTCTCACCAACAGTGTAAAAGTGTTCCTATTTCTCCACATCCTCTCCAGCATCTGTTGTTTCCTGATTTTTCCAATGATCACCATTCTAACTGGAGTGAGATGGTTTCTCACTGTGTTTTTGATTTGCATTTATCTAATGACCAGTGATGATGAGTTTTTTTTTCATATGTTTGTTGGCTGCATAAATGTCTTCTTTTCAGAAGTGTCTGTTCATGTCCTTTGCCCATTTTTGATATGGTTGTTTGTTTTTTTCTTGTAAATTTGCTTAAGTTTTTTGTAGATTCTGCATATTAGCCCATTGTCAGATGGATAGATTGCATAAATTTTCTCCTTTCTGTGGGTTGCCTGTTCACTCTGATGATAGTTTCTTTTGTTGTGAAGAAGCTCTTTACTTTAATTACATCTCGTTTGTCAATTTTGGCTTTTGTTGCCATTGTTTTTGCTGTTTTAGTCATGAAGTCTTTGCCCACGCCTATGTCCTGAATGGTAATGCCTTTGTTTTTTGGGGGGTTTTTATGGTTTTAAGTCTTACATTTAAGTCTTTAATCCATCTTCAGTTAATTTTTGTATAACTAGTAAGGAAGACGTCCAGTTTCATTTTTTTGCATATGGCTATCTAGTTTTCCCAACACCATTTATTAAATAAGGAATCCTTTCCCCATTACTTGTTTTTGTCAGGTTCATCAAAGATCAGATGGTTGTAGATGTTTGATGTTATTTCTGGGGCCTCTGTTCTGTTCCATTTGTCAATATATCTGTTTTGGTACCAGTACCATACTGTCTTGGTTACTGTGGCCTTTTAGTATAGTTTGAAGATAGCTAGTGTGATGCCTCCACTTTTGTTCTTTTTGCTTAGGATTGTCTTGTCTATGCAGGATCTTTTTTGATTCCATATGAAATTTAAAGTAGTTTTTTTTCTAATTATGTAAAGAAAGTCAATGGGAGCTTGATGGGGATAACACTGAATTTATAAATTACTTTGGGCAGTATGGCCATTTTCACAATATTGATTCTTCCTATCCATGAGCACGGATTGTTTTTCATTTGTTTGTGTCCTCTCTTATTTCCTTGAGCAGTGGTTTGTAGATCTCCTTGAAGAAGTCCTTCCCATCCCTTTTAAGTTGGATTCCTAGGTATTTTATTCTCTTTGTAACAATTGTGAATGAGAGTTCATGCATGATTTGGCTCTCTGTTTGTCTATTATTGTGTATAGGAATTCTTGTGATTTTTGAACACTGATTTTGTATACTGAGACTTTTTTGAAGTTGCATATTGGTTTAAGGAGATTTTGGGCTGAGACGATGGGGTTTTCTAAATATACAATCATGTCAGCTGCAAACAGAGACAACTTGAGTTCCTCTTCCTATTTGATTACGCTTTGTTTCTTTCTCTTGACTGATTGCCCTGGCCAGAACTTCCAATACTATATTGAATAGGAGTGATGAGAGAGGGTATTCTTGTTTTGTGCAGATTTTCAAAAGGAATGTTTCAAGTTTTTCCCATTCAGTATATTGGCTGTGCGTTTGTCATAAATAGCTCTTAATATGTTGAGATAAGTTCCATCAATACATAATTCATTGAGAGTTTTTACCATGAAGAGGTGTTGAATTTTGCTGAAGGCCTTTTTTGCATCTATTGAGATAATCATGTGGTTTTTGTCATTAGTTCTGTTTATGTGATGGAATACATTTATTGATTTGCATATGTTGAACAAGCTTTGCATCCGAGGGATTAAGCTGACTAGATCGTGGTGGATAAGCTTTTTGATGTGCTGCTGGATTCGGTTTGCCAGTATTTTATTGAGGATTTTCGCATCGATATTCATCAGGGATACGGGCCTGAAATTTTCTTTTTCTGGTGTGTCTTTGCCAAGTTTTGGTTTCAGGATGATGCTGGATGCATAAAATGAGTTAAGGAGGAGTACCTCTTTTCTATTGTTTGAAATAGTTTCAGAAGGAATGGTACCAGCTCCTCTTTGTACCTTTGGTAGAATTCGGCTGTGAATCCTTCTGGTTCTGGACTTCTTTTGGTTGGTAGGCTATTAGTTACTGCCTCAATTTTAGAACTTGTTATTGGCATATTCAGGCATTCGACTTCTTACTGGTTTGGACTTGGGAGGGTATATGTGTCCAGGAATTTATCCATTTCGTCTAGATTTTCTAGTTAATTTGCAAAGAGTTTTTTATAATATTCTCTAATGGTAATTTTTATTTCTGTGGATCAATGGTTATATCCCCTTTATCATTTCCTATTGCATGTATTTGATTCTTCTCTTCTTCCTTATTACTCTGGCTAGCAGTTTATTTATTTCTTGATCTTTTCAAAAAAACAGCTCCTGGATTCGTTGATTTTTTGGACGGGCTTTTTGTGTGTCTATCTCCTTCAGTTCTGCTGTGATCTTAATTATTTCTTGTCTTCTGCTAGCTTTTGAATTTGTTTGCTCTTGCTTCCCTAGATTTTTAATTGTGATATTATGATGCCGATTTTAGACCTTTTCTGCTTTCTCTTGTGGGCATTTAGTGCCATAAATTTCCCTTTGCACACTACTTTAGCTGTGTCATATTTTAATTTTTAAGCCCTCAATCTTTCTTTTTCATCATGACAGTCTTGACTGTTTTATGTTTATGAAAACTGTAAAATTGTCTACACAGTTTTTACAAAGACTTTACCAAAATATTTTATTGAGAATGTACAAACCTGTCAGTTAATTAGGGGAGAAGTTGCATTGTAGTAATAAATAGCCACAAAACAAAACCCTGAAGGACATCCAAACCAGAATAAAACAAAACATTTTAACAAAGAGAAAAAGAACAATCTCGCAACAAATATGTGCAGTTTATATCACAAAGATGTTCACATCTCCACTTTAAAGAGAGCTTTTAGAAGTTGATTTAAAATATGGGAAAAGACATTATCCCACACCACAGAAAAAATAAATTTAAGCAGCTCTTAACACATGAACGTATTATCAAGCTCAGATGGAATCAAAATTAAATATTTGACAACAGATTCTACAGTTTGAGAGAAATAGAAAAGTGTTTTTTTCTTTTCTCCAGGTCCACAAGTCTAGTTTCTTGGACTCTCTCACTATAATGGAGGTTGTCATCAGCTCCCCAAAATAAGGGAAGCACAGAGCAGATGGTGGCTGAAGGTGGGGAATCCTGTGAAATCATATTTAAGATCATAGCCCGTGGTCCATTGTATTGTAATCAGCTGGCTCAGGAAAGAAGATCTGGATCTCCTGAGCTCTACACCTACTGCAATGGATATGTCAGGAGTCCCGAGAACCTCTGGGGCCCAAACCCCTCCCACCAAAATATATCATCCAGTATTGAGGACTCTGACACCAAATTCTCACAGAGCATATGCTTATGCAATTTTACATTTAATTTCTCATTACATTACAATTGGGAAAATGAGGCCCCAAAAGAGGCAGGGACTGATCCAGATCTCAGGAGGTGGGCAGGCTCCAGAGCATTAGAGAGAGCTCCAGCTTCCTAGGCCTTGGCTCCATCCCACCTATCAGGTTTGCTTTGGAAGTTAGAGCCTGTAGCTTCACATTCAGGGGCACAGAGAATGAGCAGATCCAGGGTTCTGTTCACATGGGGACCTCTCCATGTCAATTTCAAGATGACAGGACTGGGGTTTTGCATCCAGCTCTGAGGGCACCTGGAAGTAAAATGAGCTATGCTCCACCTCAGCCTAATGTAGAGAATGCCTGCAGGAAAGCCTGTTTTCTTCCTCATAAATAGGGCTGTTTGAACTGGGTGACCTCGACGATTTCACATACTCATAAGTGTCTTCCAGCCCTGATTCTTGCTCTGAGACTGTGCAGAAATGCATCCACTCTCTGTAGGTCCTTCAAATCAGAGGGAGGCATGGCCACTTCAGAGGCATCTTGGGTAGATGAAGATGAGACGGAGCTAAATGTTCCAGAGCATTGGACTCTGAGGCTGAAGTCCACGGAAAATCCCAGCTCCTGTTGGGTTCTTAAGGTCCTCATTTGAAAGTGGTAGAAACTAATTTCACTGGATAAGGGGAGGATATCTCATGGATAAATAGCACAACCCAAAAGGTAGAGGCAAATAGAAGGCAAAGGGGGATTCCAAGGTCACTCATTGTACTTGGGGCCTTCAGATTCTGCTACTTTATCCCCTAGGACCTTGAAGAACCAGTGTCTTGAGGACAGAAAAATCAAGATACCTGATTTGTTCCATAGTGCTCCTGCATTGGGCCATAGAGTTAGTGATGGCCTGGAGGTGGTTACAGCCAGCTCTGTTTCTGGTGCCCACTGAGCTTTGCTGGAGCAGCTGGAACAAGTAAGAGTCACACATCTCATGTTGTTATCAATGATCTCCACATTATCAGGTGGTCAAAAGAGGAAGGGATATTAGAGATCCTCCATATAATCACTTAGCCAGTCTTTTTTCCCTTGCGCTCACCCTTTGCCAGCTAACCAGGTGGGTGCAACGTGGTACAGAAAATTATTACATGATGCCTGCACCCCCCAACCCAGGACCAAACATTCTGAGGACAGCTGGATAAAAGCACTAAAGCAAGTATATGTGAAAGAAAAGAGGAAGGACTATAATATAAAGTGGAATGTTGAGAAGAAAAGCTGGAAAATTATTGCATGGGAGGAACTAAGGCCTCATTGTGGTGATGTTTAATCCATGATAAGGATGACAACAGGGAGACATCTCTGCACAAGTATGTGTCAGGGAGAAGCCACCCTTAGTGAAGAGACTCATAGGTGTGAGTTCGGCAGAGGTTAGAAAGTTTGGCTGCAGACAGCCTGAGGAAGATATAAGTAGAGGGATGGAGAATACTAGGGCCTGGGAGATGAGGCTAGATATCTGCTCCTTTCTGACAACATTGCCCTAAAAGTCAGCACTTTTCAACAACATATAATATCTCATAATTTATGTGGACCAGAATCTGGACACAGTTCAGTTGGGTACCTCTGCCTTTAGGTCTTTTATGACATTGGGACTGTGGTCTTAACTGAAGCTGGACTGGGAAAGCATGAGCCTTTAAGCTGACTCATGTGAAAATTGGCAGGGTTTAGTGTGGCTGGAGAGCCTGACTTTCCTTCTCTCTACTGGTCTGAGCACCCCCTCAGGCTCTGTTATGTTGGTCTTTACATGGAGCATCTCATAGCATTGAAGCTTGCTTCCTGTGTTTGAGGTATACAATAGAGAGAGAGAATTAGACAAAAAGGTGTACACAAAAAGAGACAGAGAAAGATTGAGGGCGCAAACAGGAAAAACCCAGTAGGAGAAAAATGAGAGCTTTAGAAAAATCTTGACAGGGTGCGGTGGCTCACACCTGTAATCCCAACACTTTGAGATGCTGAGACGGGTGGATCACCTGAGGTCAGGGGTTTGAAAGCAGCCTGGACAATATGGTGAAACCACCGTCTCTTCTAAAAGTACAAAATGAGCAAGGTGTGGTGGTGCATGCCTGTAATCCCAGCTACTTGGGAGACTGACGCAGGGGAATCATTTGAACCTGGGAGGCGAAGGTTCCAGCAAGCCAAGATCACACCACTGCACTCCTGCCTGGGATACAAGAGTGAAACTGTCTCAAAAAAAAAAAAAAGGAAACAAAAATCTTGAGAGTTCCAATAATTTTTCTCCTGTATTTATGTTAAAATTGTAACCCCCGTTGTAATGCTATACGGATGAAAGATGTACTTAACTCCTGAGGGTGGGACCTTCATAATAGAGATTACTGGCTTTATACAAGGAACCGCAGAGGGCTCTCTTCCTCCTTCTGCAAAATGATGGTAAAACTTGAAGTCTGCAGTCTGAAATTCAGAAGCGAGTCATCACCAGAGCTCAACCGTGCTGACAACCTGATCTCAAATTTCGAACCTATAGAAGTATGAGAAATTAAGTCCTGTTGTCTATAAGCTGCTTATCTATGGTTCTTTGGCATAGCAGCCTGAACTAATACAAAAGTGATATCCTTTTCTGTATTTCATTGGACAGAAGCTGAATTTGTACCCCTATGCTGTTAAAAAAATGACTTAAAATGGATTTTCAGAATGAAAGATAGGAAATGGCTTGTTGAAACACTAAAATTTTATCTGCTTATAAGGTTTTTAAACATTGGCTGAAATTGTTGGAACTGATATGGCCAAATGAAGTCCATGAAGAATCAGATTGCATATGTTAGAGCCCAAATTTCCATTGTGTGTTTCATACTAACTCTCCCTGAATTTGCATGTGACTTGAGAGGAAGCAAGAAGAGATGACAGTATATGTCTCATGACTTTCCATATTCCTACTTTCCTTCCAGCAATCCCTTACAGAACCCACCTCTTAGGCCTTTTCTAATCACTGCCTTAAAGCCAGTATAAGAAAACAAATTTCAGCTGGACTGCTATCTCCTTTTTGGCCAACCTACAACATGATATTTTCCTCAAAACCCAAGGGCCATATTACTGTCATCAGGCTGTAGGCCATTTTATTCAATAAAAAACTGAGTCACTAACCACCTAGTACTGTGAGATTTTGTGAAGAGTTTCCCTGTCATAGACGTGAGAAGGCACATGGATAGGATTCTAAATATAAAGAGAAAGCACTAGAAAGTTGAATGGCTGTATTAGGACTTTGTCATACTGCAATGATGAAGTACTTGAGACTGGGTAATTGATAAAGAAAAGAAGTTTAATTGACTCACAGTTCCACATAATTGGGAGGGCACCTCAGAAACCTTCCAATTACAGTGGCTGACAAGTGAAGTGAGTGAGAGCATGGGATGTACCAGATGCTTATGAAACTATCAGATCTCATGAGAACTCACTATCACAAGAACAGCATGAGGAGAACCCGTCCCCATAATCCAATCATCTCCCCTCAGGTTTCTCCCTTAACACCTGGGGGTTATAATACACAGAGAAGTTTGGGTGGAACACACAGCTAAACTATATGAATGCCAGAGGACAGTATCTACATTTAATTTCAACTTCATACTGGAGCAGAATGAAAATGAAGCGCAGTGGAGAAGTGACATTCCCAAGATCACCCTGCCAGACCCAGGCTTGTTTGAGTTGTGGCCCATGCTACCTTCTACATATTCTCCTAATGCTTCCATCTCTAAGTGTGTGCATTATCTACAGGTAACACCACATGATTTTTATGTTTTATCTTATATACATCTAATACAATCCCTAGGAAGTAGATGTTAGCATCATCCCCACTGTGCATGCTTGGAGGCTGGGGAAGCCTCAAATACACAGATGTTTTTATTGGGTCCCAGAGATGGTAAGAAAAACAAGGTTATGTTCCAGCTGTCTCTTATATCCTGGAACCCAGGCTGCATTTAGTTCTTTCCAGGGAATTAAGGGGAAGTTGTGTTTGCATACTTGTGTACAAATGAAGAGTTGACATGGAAGAGGAGACTGAACAATTAGTAGCATAGTTGGGCTTTTGGGTAGGTCTTACAGAAAGAAGGGACCCAGTAGATGGAACCTTGAAGAGTTTAACACACTTTCTTGGTGACAACCCAACATCAGTTAAGAAACCAGGAACCCACATTCTTGAGACAGCTCTGTATCCACCTCTGTTAGTGAGAGATGCTCAAGAGAGTGAGATGTTCTTTCATTGTGCCCTGAAATTTCTGAGTTTTGACTTTACAAAGGCTCAGTGTAAAAGCCTTATCTGAAAACACGGATGTCAACTCAGGCCTCATCATTGATGCCCCTGGCTATTGGCTGGGTGCACCTACAAATAACACAGGGCAGCTCAGGACAGGCCCCAGAGCCAGGCCTCTCTTGTCAACTCATCTGGGAAGTCCCACACCATTTCTTAGTACCATGAGTTGTATGGGGAGCAAGAGGGAGGGCACTCTTCTTTTACTGAAGCAGATTGTCAGGTGTTGGAACCCTTGTGTACCTGTCATGTTCATACCTAGGCCATAGCTGGCAGAATAAAAAGAAGAGGGTTGGAGAACGAGTCTGTGTACTCAGATGTGAATTCCAAGACTTTAACTTGTCCTCTGGTTTCCTTCCTTGCTGGAGATTCATACAGATTCTCCTTATGTGCCTAATCTGAAGAGCAGAATTTCTTTTCTTTTCTTTTCTCTTTTATTTTCTTTCTTTCTTTCTTTCTTTCTTTCTTTCTTTCTTTCTTTCTTTCTTTCTTTCTTTCTTTCTTTTTTCTTTCTTTCTTTCTTTCTTTCTTTCTTCTTTTTCTTTCTTTCTTCTTTCTTTCTTTCTTTCTCTTTCTTTCTTTCTTTCTTCTTTTTTTCTCTTTCTTTCTTTCTTTCTTTTTCTTTCTTTCTTCTTCCTTACTTCCTTCTGTCTTTCTTTCTCTCTTTTTCTTTTTCTTTTTTCCTTTTTGAGGAAGCCTCGCTCTGTCACCCAGGCTGGAGTGCAGAGAAAAGCAGAATTTCTAGTGGAGGTGTCACATACGGTGAAAACAAGGCAGACCACTGACTTTTCTTTGCGTGGTTTCTAGGCACTTTTTACAGAGCTGCATTCAGATTGATGAGGAGCTTCTTGATGTGGCCAACTCCTCCCTCTTTTTGGAAAAAGACCAGGTGCACTAAGCCAGCAACCACAGCCAGCACCGGGCTGTGGTAAGAGCAGCCACATAGGGGTCTCTACAGACAGAAACCCGAGAAGACCGGGACAGACCCAGTACCCAGACTCCAGTATGAAAACTCTCTGGGCTGTGTCCTATGATCTTCCCATGAGTAACTCATAGTCTTGATCCAGTGGAATCTGGCCTTCATTAGTCTCAGTGGCAAGTTGGTTATGTGGAAAGTCTCTGTTCACTCACTTGGGTGAATAACAGTAAAGACCTTTCTATTGTTTTCACTTTACATTAGGCCATGAGTATTTGTGCCTGTAGCTGCAGTTTGTGTTAGTTTCCTACCCCAGGTATCTCCTGCAGCATGCAGCTTCAGTCCTACCAGACCCTCAAAACTTAAAAGCGAACACTATTTCTAGGGAGGATTTTGCAGGAAAATGGAGAAAGGGTTACACACAAAAAAGGTTAAACTACTCTATGCATGTTTCTGCAATGTGTTATCTCAAGAATTCATCTCTGTAGCCCATCAGGGCAGGAGCTGGTCTCTCACCTGTTGATAATATTCCATAAGGGAGGTTCTTCCCCACAGTGTTTAGTCTTCCGACGCTGGTATAGCCTGACATGATGACATTCTACTTTCATGTTGGTCGTGCTGCAGGGAGAATTCTGTGAGTGTCCTAATAGGCTGGAATCACTTGCTAAGGTGAACCCCATCTTTGGTGCTCACTTTTCTGTTATCTTATAATTAGCTTTATTCTAAGCAAATCCATGTCTATTTTATTTATCTGTTTATTAACTTATTTTTATGTATGGAAAAACACATTTTTTTATTTGCTTATTTATTTAGAGACAGGGTCTCCCTCTGTCATCCAGGCTGGAATACAGTGGTAGATTGGAGTGATCATGGCTCATTGCAGCCTCAAACTCTTGAGCTCAAATGATTCTCTCACCTCAGCCTCCTGTGCCACCATGCCCTGCTAGTTGATTTTAATTTGTTATAAAGAAAGTGTCTCATTATGCTGCCCAGGCTGGTCTCAAACTCCTGGGCCCAAGCAATTCTCTCATCTCAGCCTCCCAAAGCACTAGGATTAAAAACATGAGCCACTGTACTGCTCTGTGCCTACTTCAAAGGACTGAAAATAAAAAATAAATAAATCTTTGCCAAATTAAAAAACAAAGCAATAGTTTCCAGGTCTTAGATAAAGACAATTCTCTGTCATGAAGAATGACAGAAGGCTTATTTAGCTGTTAAAATGATTTGCTTATATTTCAAAGAAGCAGAGAAAAAAAGGTACATGTAAAAGTGTTCCAGGCCACTCATGGTGGTTCATGCCTGTAATCTGAACATTTGGGGAGGCCAAGGCATGAGGATACCTTCAAGCCAAATGTTTGAGTCCAGTACAGGCAATATGGTGAAATTCTGTCACTACAAAAAAATAAAATAAATATGGCTGGGCATGTTGGCTCACACCTGTAATCCCAGCACTTTGGGAGTCTGAGGCAGGTGGATAATGAGGTCAGGGGGTGGAGACCAGCCTGGCCAAAATGGTAAAACCCATTCTCTACTAAAAATAATAATAACAAAAAATTAGCCAGACATGGTGGTGTGCGCCTGTAATCCCAGCTACTCAAAAGGCTGAGACAGGAGAATTGCTTGAACCTGGGAGGTGGAGGTTGCATTGAGACAAGATCATGGCACTACACTCCAGCCTAGCCCACAGAGCAAGACACTGTCTTGAAAAAAAATAAAAACAAAAATAAATAAAGCTAGCCAGGCATGGTGGTTCATGCCTATAGTCCTAGGTAATTAAGCGGTTGATGCAGGAGGACTGCTCAAACCCAAGAGGTTAAGGTTACCGTGAGCTATGATTATGCCGTTGCACTTCAGGCTAAGTAAAAGAGTAAGACTCTGCCTCAAAAAATTACTAATTAAAGTTTTCCAGATTACATTGTTTAAGAAAAAGGAAAAGAAAAAAATCTTTTTTTTATTTTCAAATGGGAGAATAGAGCCTCTCATTTCTAATTTGTATTGCCTTCTGCAAAAACTTAGTCTAGGCCCATGGTCTTGAACTACTGGACATCTGAATTTTGGTAGGTGCTGGATTCAGGCAACTGAGGGGTGGCCTTGGGCACTCTGTGTGCACATAAAAGAAAGGGTTTGAGGTGAACTAAAAGGTAAAAGAGGGGAAGGTGCTATTAAGAAACCAGAAGTGAGAGACTGTACAGGGTTGGTGGGAGGACTGGTTCATGCTACAGACACTGACCCAGGTGAAACTTTTCTCTGAGTTATTTC
Source organism: Homo sapiens (assembly GCF_000001405.40). NCBI lineage: Eukaryota > Metazoa > Chordata > Mammalia > Primates > Hominidae > Homo > Homo sapiens. Next base: position 136,562 of record NW_021160012.1, on the reverse strand, counting down.
TATGTTCATGCAGGAAGACGAGATTATGATCAGGTGGCACAGAAATCTGCGATGGTGAAAAAACCAGGTTGCCACTGCAGATTCGGTGTCTGAAGTAGAACATATGCCAGGGGTCTTGTAGGCACGTGTGTGGGTTTTTGGTGGGAAAGTCTATGAGGAAAGGTAGGATGGGCAACAATCTTGATGCCAAAGCCTTGTCCTGAGAGGGGCTTGACCACGTCAACATGCAGTGTGTATGTTCAGTGGGTGAAAAACATGTGGTGGCCTCAGGTTGGCAGGAGGGTAGAAGGCATCTGTTCTCAGAACTTCTTCCCTCAGAGTCGTCGGTCCTTCTTACCATGGGAGGATGCCTGGAACCACAGGGCAGTGCATGGCGTAGCAGCCTGTGTGCAGAGCAGAGCCTACCTTCCCCGAGACACCTGGAGTCTCTCTCCAGCAAAGGCCCCCACATTGTCTTTCTCCTTACAACACTTTTGATCCTAAATGTGTAAAGTTCCCTGAAAACCCACTGCTTCTCCAACACCCATTTCTTGCCCCAAAATTTAATTCTGACACAACTTAGAGTTCGCACAGATCCCACAAATTCAGGGCTAAGTCCCACATCACCCCTCTCACTGCAGAGGTTAGTCACATGTCCCATAAGCCCATCTATACTTCTGAGCTACTGCCTATAAATCTGAGACTCCCATAAACCCCTTTTCAAGTTAAATAATTTGATAGAGTTACTCAAAAAAACTCAACAAATAAGTCTAATTATATTTACCACTTTATTATAAAAATACAACTCAGAAACTGACAAATGAAAGAGATGTCTAGGAAAAGGAACAGTTGTGGGTGAAGGTAATCCTGGAAATAGCTATATTTAAAGAAATTCCCCCATTCTTTGTGTTCTCAAAGAACAGCTTAGTGAAGAGAAACGTGCTTCCCATTATGACTTTGTGGATGTTCCCCCCCCCCCTTTTTTTTAACCTATCACAAAGACGGACACAGATTACAAATTCCTATTTTTAAAAATGAACAACCATTCTGTAATTTAGTCTTCAGTGGTCAAAACAGAGTACTTGTTAACAAAACTTTGCTTGTTCCCCTTCTTCCCTCAGCCCCTGAACTTTGACTCACCCACAGCCTCAGAGAACCTACAACCCATATTTATACATATCCCTCCTAAGAACAGGCTGACTTCAAGATGAAACATTATCTTATCTGGGATCTGATTTTGCTACCCTCCATCCTGTGCTTCCTTTCCAACCTTCTTTGTAAACTTATTTTCTCCTCCCTATGAAATAAAACCCTTTTCCACCTAACCTTTGAGATCCTCAAAGATCTAATCATTTGTACTTTTTCCTTGTTACAACACTTCTTAAGTAACTTCTTAGACAAAGTCTATAAACAGTCTCAGGACAATAACAACTCCATTCTAGAAAGAATATCCCAACTTTTCTTCAATCTCAACCCCAACTGCATCTGCCTGTCAACTTCCAGCTTACCAAAGCTCTGTATCTTCTGACAGTGACAAAGGCTCCTTCTATGGTTGGTGTGAGCAGACTTTGATGTCTGCAGGGCAGACACCCAGGAATAATCAACTGGGCCTTCAGTGGCCCCCTTTTGCAGGGTCAACGTTAGCCTTAGCTTTTAGTCAACGGTCTAAGACTTCTACTTACCAGTTAAAGTCATTCAATTAGTTTTCAATTTAAAAAATACTTCATGTTTGAAGAATCCAGCAAAAATCATTCAAATCTAAGGTTTAAAAGAGAGGAAATTATGGTCGGGCATGGTGGCTCATGCCTGTAATCCCTGCATTTTGGGAGGCTGAGGCGGGCAGATTACCTGAGGTCAGGAGTTCGAGACCAGCCTCACTAACATGAAGAAACACAGTCTCTACTAAAAATACAAACTTAAACGGGGGTGGTCGTGTATTCCTGTAATCCCAGTTACTTGGGAGGCCGAGGCAGGAGAATTGCTTGAACCCGGGAGGTGGAGGTTACAGTGAGCCAATATCGTGCCATTGCACTCCAGACTGGGCAACAAGAGTGACACTAAGTCTAAAAAATAAAATTAAAATTAAAAAAGAAAGTTATAAGGGGCTTACATTTTATAACTCAACAAGAAAAGCCAAAGTATCTATCCCTTTCAGAAAATAAACATGTAATTTAATTATGTTCATAACAAATCATTTAGTAAACAATCATATGTGAACACTTCCAGGCGGTGCCAAGTCCCAGCTCCTAAAACTTAGCGTTACCCTCAAACACCCAGATGACAGCATATGGAACAGAGATACTCACTATCAGAAGTTCTCTGTTTTGAAAAAAGAATAACTGATGTGATAAATTTATGTAATTTAACAATTAATCTACCTCACGTGCTTGTAGGTATGTATTCATTTCCTACCACCGTAGTGGAAGAGAGACTATCCCTATCAATACACCTGGTAACATTCCCAACAGTAAGCCGTGAGATTCTGCTTGAAATCACCTCTCAGACAAATAAAAAACAGTCCTGGGAAATGTACGACACTCATTCTGCTAAAGAAATAGGCAAGTAACAATTTTTAACAAGTGAAATATATTACTACTTAATTTTATTCAAAATTCACCAACTTAATGTGCTTTATAAATATTTTCATGCCTTTCAAGCTCTACTGATAAAACATAGTTTACAGTTAATTAAAAAGTGAAGTTAAAGTAAGTACAAAAACATTTTCAAGGTGACAAAATTAGAAGGTGACAGTGCCGATTGAAACACAGACATATCAGACCCAAGGGTCAAGTCAAGCCATTCTATTACTTGGGATATTTTCCCCACTCACATCTGGTTCAGTGAAGTGGGTCATGACCATCCTACCAGGAGCCGCTACCCTGTGCTCCTCTGTGTCCCTGAGGTGCATTTTACTTTGCAGGTTTTTGCACTGCCTCACTAGGTTGGGTTTCTTTGTCCTTTGAAATATTTTCTCTCCCTTCACCAATCTGAGAACATTTTTTCCTCAATATCAGCATCCATTTGCCTGGCCTGCAATGTGTCTCTAAGGAATGGAAACTAAGCTTTGGGGTAAGAAAATCTTAATGACCTAATGGGTTTGCTTTTAGCGCAAGGGTATACCTAGAGATTCCTTCCAGGCACAGCTCAAACAACCACTCCACAGAGAGGCTGCATTCCCATACCTTGGGCTGTTCCCTGAGAGGAGATGACACAAGGGATGCTATTTACTAGACACTTCAAGAGTCATGGCCACTGTTGGCATCTTGGGGAATCCTCAAACAGTTTTGAAATTCAAAACCAAGAAAATAACAGGATGGCTGAGGATGTATTGCCCTGTGAAGTTTCCAAAATGAAACCTGAACCCAAAGGCTTTCTGATGGGGTGTCTGTGCCAAGAGAAGTTTAAACAAAGGGGCACAAAGGTTTTCCGCTTTTTATTTATTTTTTTTACAGTGGGGTGTCAGGGGATTATTCTCTGCTTTCATCTCCTGTAAAATGTTTACAAATGAGAAAAAATTTTTTTAAATGACATCCACTGCTTTTTGACAAAAAGAAGAATTGAAATACTGTGTCTGAAATGTACAATAAAGAACAGTTGATAATGTTGTGAATTATGGAAGGTTAGTTAGTGTTGGTGAGTGTCAGGAAAGAACTGGAAATTTAAAATCTGATTGCAAGCCAGAGTTAGGCTGGGGCAACAGGGAGTTAGATTTGAGTCTCTGCCTGCCACACATTTGGAAAATGCATGAGAAAACTAGTTCCCTTTTGGAGTGTTAAAATAACTAAAAAACAGGTGATTATGTTGAGGTGGCTCTAGTGTCCTGAGCTCTGAGTGGAGAGACAGGCCAAGGCCTCCGTACTTCCAAAAAGCTGCCCATTCTTCTCCAGCTGTGCACCTGATTAGATAGTTTCCACTCCAAGACCCATGATTGGATGTAGTTCAATTCCCTACCCTGCCGCCTCAGACCATGAGTGACATATGTGATTTGACACTGGGTTGAATAAAGCAAGAATTATAGGTTTTTCCTGGATCCTTTTCTAGCAGGGCTTCCTCTGTGAACTAGAAACTGGCCCTGCCTGTAAAATATTTGCATTTACATTTGTATGTAAGATTATTTGTATTAATGAATAATATATATGTGTTATTCATATATGGAATCAATATAATGACAATTGTTTTAAAATTTCAGATGTTTTACTTTCCTGGCACATCCAGGTTTTAGAGCAGGCAGCCTGAGATTTCAAAAGGGAGGCAATTCTCTAAGAAATAATATGAGAGGCACAAGTGAATTTTAAATATTCTGGTAACTACATTTTAATAAATACACCGGGCATGCTTCCCTGTGCCTGTAGGTCGAACTATTAGGGAGACTGAGGTGGGAGGATCACTTGAGACCAGGAGTTTGAGACCAGCCCAGGCAGCATAGAGAAAGCCATCTCTACAAAAAAAAAAAAAAAAAAAAAAAAAAAAAAAAAAAAAAAAAAAAAAATTGAAAAATTAGCCAGGCCTGGTGGTGCATGACTTCAGTCCCAGCTACTCAGAAGGCTGGAGCTGGAGGATCACCTGAGCCTGGGAGGTCAAGGCTGCAATGAACCATGATCACACAACTGCACTCCAGCCTGGCTGACAGAGCAAAACTCTGTCTCAAAAAACTGATCTCTGGAAAGGCAATTTGTTTTTCTGCAATGTAGCCAAGCAGCTAAGTATGTATTGAAGCCATCCTTTAATTTTTAACAGGGCAAGAAAGCTTTCTAAGACCCCGAACTCCAGATATGCGATGGGGCAAATCCTGAAGCGTACATGGCTATCTCTCACAGCTAAAGCATCCCTCACCCCTATCCAGTGCTTCTTACCCCTGGCGCAAGAGAATCACCTGCGGGGAGGAAAACTTTCAAAATCCCTTAAACCCAAGTTGTAACCGCACAACTAAATCAGAATCCTTGGAGCTGGATCTGAAAAAAATATGGTTGAAAGTCGTGCAGGTGATTACAATGTGTAGGCAAGCCAGAAAACCATGGCTTTAACGAGCAGCTTTTGTTAGAAATGATTTCTCCAATGAATGTGAAAACGTTTGCTGCTGAATTGTGACCTTTCCATTTTATCTGCTTTTCCTGCAAAGTATATTTTGCAGACCCGGGCTGGCTTCTCCTTCTGTTCCTGGTTCACCCAGTGCCGTGTGTGCTCAGTGCATCCTGTGCACGGGTCACTGTGTGCCCTGGCCTGGGTGAGCATCATTCTTCGGGGAGAACCTTGATGAAAACAAAGCTGCATTCCAAAAAGTTAAAACCATGCTACTTACTGTGTTGAAGTAAAAATTAAAAGACCCAGGGGGGCTCACCCAAAAGTTAAAACATAAATAAATAACTTGGAACATTAACATACACCTGATGATGTCCTGAGTGAACACGCCCCACTTGAAAACAAAACAAAACATTGCTATTATTCTAAAATATTAATTTAGGATTGTTATGCAAACATGCACTCTTTACATTTTTATTGATAAATAACATGCATACAGCAATATAGGCACAAAGCATTTAGGGAATGTTTGATGAATTATTACTAAATAAATACACTTGTGTATCTAAGAATCAGATTTGTTCATGCCCCTGACACTTTCCCCTTCCCAAAGGTAACCAAGACCTTAAGAGCTAAGTGTAGATAAACTTTGTCATTTTGTACAAGTGTTTTATTACAGATCACTAAAAACATACACAATACAAAAAAAGTATAACAGACCAGTCACCCAGCTTTAACAGCTGCTAGTCATGTGTCATTTTTGTTTTATCTATACTTCCAGCCATGCCCCCACCCCCAATTTCATTATTTTTTAGGCTTTTTGGATAAAATGTATATTCATTGCAAGGTACAATGCGAACTGTAAATAGTAGAGAGATGGGGTTTTACCATGTTGGTCAGGCTGTTCTTGAACTCCTGACCTCAGGTGATCCACTCTCTTCCACCTCGCAAAGTGCTGGGATTACAGGCGTGAGCCAATATACTCGGCCTGAGAATTCATATTTCTAATAAAGTACAAATCCATAGGGCACATGACAACTGCAATGTCTATCTACAGTAAAAACAGTTTGATGAATAAAATGAAAGGCAATTGACTTAAGGTGGGAAAAAAACAATCAAAGCATGGGTACTATGTGCCATCTGTAGGAGCATTTGGTTAAGAATAACAAACAAACCAGTTTTATTGTTTTAATAACCGAAATTGGCAAAATTTCTAGTTTTTCTTTCATAGGAATGCTCTTAGCAAGAAAAAATTTTCATATGGTGAGAGCAAAAATGACAACCATTTGCAAGTAAATGTCTTATGAAATTAAGTAGCAGATATCAAGCTCATGACCTTCAGATTGTTACCCCTAACTCAATCATTTACATAGCAAGTGCAGATAATTTTCATAGTTCCCCATTAAAATTATACTTTACTCCCCTTACAAATTGTGACTGTTTTTAAATAAAGTTCACTAACTAAAATTTTGTATATGACATATGATAAATTTCCCTTCAAGTCACCTTATATTTACTTAATTGTGTTAGCCAGTGTCTGTCTACCTCCCAACAATACTTTGGGATTCTCCCTCCATTTGCACAGGCATCATAGCTGGGGAACAGGGATTCAAAAGACCCAGGCTGTTCCCTACATATGTTTCCTCCTCAGACATCAGTTAATCAGTCAATCAAGTCAAGTGAGAGTGGAGGCCATGTATTCCCTCTTATTCTTGGGCACTCTCCTCCAAGGAGGAAAAGGCCAGGAGGTCCTGTTAGAGGATGCACTCTGAGAGCCCGGGCTCCCTAAGGTATGAGAGTTCTAACCAGCAGGTGTAGACTTTTCAGGAGTGAGGAATGAGGCAGGCATTCCAAACCTGGAGCTTCATCACCTTTTGTTTCATCTCAAGACAATTCTGAGGGGCTGTTTTGGAGCGTGTCTGGAAGGTGAACGTTGAAGAAGAGTGTGGGCTTTGATGTGACTCAGATGAGATCTTTCATGGGGAGGCAGGAATTCAATGCCCAGAATCTGGGCTGGTGTCTTTGAGGTCAGTAGGTTGCCTCTTTGTATCCAAGTCCATTGTTACTAAATTGGAGGCTGGAGATTCTAAATGGCTTCCAGACCATCTCTCTGATTCTCTTTGGGAGATTGGGTCTGAAAAAGACAATGTCAGTATTTTTGGGAAATTCTAGAAAGTCTGCTTGGAAACCTGGGAAGACCTCTTGCCTAGTGCCTAAATATTCAATGTGCAGCTCTAGCCATGTAGATGCTTGGTAGGTATAGAGCTGGGTTTTCATTTATATCAGCAAAACCTATGTCAGAGTTGAAGAAGTAGTCAAGACAAAGTGTCTTGGTCGCAGGCCGGGGAACATCTTAAAAGCAAACTTCTAGCCTGATGACTCTTGGCAATGAGTGTTGGGTCCTGGCTAAAGTGCCTTGAATGCAGCATGAGGCCAATCCATGAATCCAACTTCCAATGGAGAAATGTTAATATTTTTTCAGTTTGAATCAATCAGGGTGAAATTACCTTGCTATTGGTTTGCTTACTTTTTATTATTTCATATAAAATCTAAGACAAAATACATTAAATGCTTATTGATATATGTATTTATTCTTCACCTGGCTCATAATATTTGCCTAATTTTAAACTTTCTTCTATTTTGTAGGTTTCAACTTATTTCATTGTAAGATATTGTTAAATCTAATACGGGCATTGTCACTTTTACAAATAATTTTATTTTATTTCATGTATTTCCTATTCACTTTTTACATTTAAATTATGGACCATTTCATCATATAAAAAGCTCCATTTCTATTTTAAAAATAAGTCTTTGGGTTTTTTTGTCTTGTAATTTCCATATTACATAGTAATGAGATAAACGTTAATGTTTTCAGGGTATTTTAAATTTTAAATAATTACTCATTATATCCACGTGAAATTTGTTTTTACTGCATGTGTGAGTTGGAGAACCGTTTTCACTTCTGACTCATCTTTACTGTGATCTCCTCAGAACTCATACCTCTTGTAGTTGGGAGATTGCAGTATATAATTCCAATAAATGGGGCAAATTCAATAATAACATAATACAAATGAGTTTGAAAGCAGGACATGTCTTCAAAGCATACACAACATGGGCCTATATATGTACAACAATAATAATTTATAAGTTACAGTTTGGATGGGAATTAAAAGTACAGAAAATTTGTTAAAATAAATTAAAATGGAGATCACGTCTCAATAATCTCTGAGCAGACGAAATTAGTTAGGTCTCATAAGTGATCTCAACCTTGCTTGATTTGCAAATACAAGCAAAACTTAAATATTTCTTGTAGCTGCCTATTTAAAAAAGAGAAATGAAGCTCAACCAATCAGGAGTAGCCAACATCCTTATATAAATAGAAACTGTCCAACAAGATAAACAGACGAACAAAAAACAATAAAAAAGTTGTGCTACCACCAATCAAATGATTTTTTTGTTTCTACATTTTTTCAATAAATACTTGCTTCTTACTCTGTCAGAGAAGCACTAAATAACTTTTGGTCTGATATTTTATAATTTATCAATTGCTCTTACTCAAATAGACACTTGGCAATTTCATTGTGTCTCAAATTACTTTTTAGCAGAATAAAATAAACTAGGAATAAACATTACAAAAATGTGTACAGAATATGAGAAAAACATAGAAAGTTTATGAAATATATGAATGTAGACATAAGCAAATAGACAATTTGTATCATATTCTTAGGCAGCAAATCTCAATATTATCAACATCAATTGTCCTTAAGTTTATTTATAAATTCAATTTTGTTCCTATACAGATACCATTAAATATTGGAAGTACACGTTACTATAAAATATTATATAGATGAAAACACACATAAGAATAGACAAGAAAACTCTGAAAAAAAAGCAAAAAACAAGACTGGCAAGCTCTGTGAAAAATCTTGATTGATTAAAAACTCATATGTCACTGAAACTAAAAATTCAGAAATAGACCAAAGTGCCTAAGAAAGTGTCATAGTGCATCCAGGCTGCTATAACAAAATACCTCAGACTGGGTAAAGGATAAACAACAGAAATGTATTTTTCACAGTTATGGAGTCTGGAAAGTGCAAGATCAAGGCAGCAGAAAATTTAGTATATGTTGAGAGCCCTGTTCCCCATAGATGGTACCATCTTGCACACGGGACAAGGGCATTGCCTTCAACTTCCCTTGAAAGAGCACTGATTCCATTCATGAAGATGAAGAACTCTTGGCCTCACCACTTCCCCAAAGGCCACACGCCTAAAATTATCCACATAGGAATTTGCAAAGGGACATAAACATTCAGGCCATCACAACAAAAACTACATGGGGGATGGCATCATTAATACTTGAGGTGTAAAAATGTGATGTTCTTATCGCAAAGGAAATAAATGATTTATTCTTCATGGCATATAACAAAATAAAGGTCCAAAGAAAATATTTTTTATGAAGATAAATCTATATGGTAAAAAACTAAGTGTTGATAAGGTTAACCCTACAGGTTGCATCAGGATTTTCAAGGTTTCTGGTGATGAGCAAGGCCCCAGAGTTTCCTCCTGTGACATTTACCTGGAAGTTGCTCATGCTGTTATTCAATTTGAAAGTAGATAATATTGTTTGTTTCTGTTCCAATATTTACTAAATTCAAAATAATATAGGGCTCTTTATGCGTAATTGTCAAACAGTCATTCAGTCAATGGTCCTCTGCTGAGGAAGAGCACAGATACATCCAAACACATATGATGTTCCTCAAATAGAGGACTTCTCCCTGTGCGGGAGTCACCTATGTTGCACTTGATCAGAGGCTTTCCCAGGCGAGCATTTCTCTGCAGCCCTACCACAGACTTAACCCTGGAAATCTGACTCAGAAGGTGATAGATGAACACCCAACCTAGCATTCTAATCTAATGGATCCTCTCTTAATAATCCCTTCCAGGGATCTGGGAGCTTTCCTGGATTCGTCTGCCACACACAGCTAGGCTAAAACATTTGGATAGAAGCTTTGATCCTCACTGGCCCTCCTGCCCTGTTCTACCAGCTTCTCTAGAAGTATGCTTCTCTAATTGATCCTGAGAGACCCATCTAAGGCTATCTCTCTGTGCCAATATAATTGATCTCATAAAGTGGGAAGAGAAACAGGCAAGAGTCCAGCTATGCTAGAAGCTGTGTCTAGGGTTCCTTATCTGCTTTATGTCTCTGATTTACCTAAATATTGACAAATACAGATTAATCTCTAGGTAGTAGAAAAACAGAAGGAGAAATCGCAGTTCACAGAAGAAGAAGAAAATGCAATCAGTAATTCCTAGAGTCCCGCTTAAGCTCAGCCACAGGGTACTAAGTCTCTTCAGGAAAAAGCAATGGTTGTCCATCATCTGAAAAACTGTGGCGTTGAACCATGGGCACCGAGAGTGCACACTGCCCACTAGAGTTCCATGCCTACATCACAGAGAGATAGAATAGTCTCAAAGGATTCTTAAGAGTAACGTGGAGACCAAAAGGAGCTGAATCCACAGCCTCTGTCTTACCGTCTGTTCTAATAGTATTTCCAGACTCTTTTGTGGGCTGCACCAGGGGTTATTCAGAAAGAAAAAAAGTTGTTAATGTCCCACCATTCCCCGTAGCTTCCGAGGTCTAAGTTGTTCATTTCCCACGTTCCAGGTTGTTGTTCTCCCTCTATCTCCACAGAATCAGTGTGTCTCATTCCGATATCTATAATCTCACCTTTATTCTAGTCGCCCTTTACTTTTTTCTAGACATTTTGTGTAGTAGAGCCAGGTAAAACAGATACAAGAATATTTACATAAAACTTAACCAGAACTAAGTTGGAGTCCCATAACTGCTGCTAGGCTGGGATGCAACTCAGAGGATACAAAAGCCAGGCTGGTCTAGAATTGCAGGTATGGGAAAGAAAGACATTTCACCCAGGAATTATTAGCACGAAATTCCAAATTTGTGAAATAGATTCCTAGATCCCCCAAACATTTCATCCTTATCTTGGAGGCAATCTGGAAGAGATAATCCCCTTTCAGAGAAAAGCATACCTAATCAACGAATTATCTAACCAACATGTGTGGAAAAGGAGGGAACATCGTAGAGTTGGCCCATTTTAGTCGATGTGGTGAAAAATGCCACGAAGTCAGAGCTCAATTGGCCTCAAAAGCCTAAAAGGTGGCACAGATTAGCTTCAAGGGACACATGGTATGGCTGGAGTCAGATGACTGTTATGCTGAAGAAGTCAACAGTGGTGACTGATATCTCAAGAAGTGGGCTAAAAGTCCACTTCTGGTTACTCTGCTAGGTATGGTCTAGGAATTCTTCAACCATGAGACAGATAGGTCAACTTTCACCAGCAACCCCAAGTCTGGTTTGCAGTATTAGACTCTGGGTTGGACACAGATTTAGGTTCAATCTGCAGCTTGATTGTGGTCACTCTCTGGAAAACACTTACCATGGACTTCTAGATGAGTGACCCAGTTAGATCAGCATCTGGGGTTGTTTCCGGTTTGCAGCCCAAAAGATATTCAGACAGTCTACACTTTCCATTGTAGATAACCAAACAGATAGAATATGTGCCATTATCCCAAACCCTGAGTTCTGACCTTTGAGAGGAGCAACCACTCATGTCAGGTTCTGTATGGCTGGCACAGGTTAAACAGCCACAGCGGCCCAGTGGACATCATGAGGTTTCACCTTCCCTGACTCATCTATGAACCAGGACCAGTCATATAGGAAACACTCAGTAAATTGGGGGCCCCACAGAGACAGCAGCTTTGCTTCAGAGGATAGAAGGAGGCACAAAATTTCAACCAGCTGGGGATGCCCTAGCCCTCTATAGGTCAAACTTAGTTTGTCAGGAGTTCTGTAGCAAGCTCTTAGCTGACTTTCAAATCAGTGTAACCAGTAGTAGTGTCAAGATAGCTCTGAGTCCAAAAGGCCAAAGAACACCTCTAGGTGGAAGCTAATCCTTTACTGGAGGCTCCAAATTTTAAAATCAAGATTTTCTTGACCTCAGGATGAACTGATCAATGCAAATCTCCCCAAATATTTTCACTAATCCTTAATTGGAAAGTAAGACTCCAGATTTTTTAACCTTCACTAAAAATAAATATCTGATTTTTTTTCACCTGGGATCTATGTATGTGTGTTGGAGCATGCTTTTACTAATCAGCATAAAGTTACAACTCTCCTTGTGCCTCTATTTTCTACTTGTGCAGAGTTTAAAGTACACAGGTGACAGCTTAGGGTTTTCTGGGTCTTTTGCTAAGCATGTACCTGACCCTGAGCATCCCCATTTCCCCATTTCTTTGTTGATCTCAAAGACCATTATCACAGTCCTAATTCCCAGGAGCTTTTCCTCCTAGAGCTTTTTGGCATGATTATTCTTAGACCCAACTGATATCCTTTGTTCCTGGTGAACTGGTAGCTTATTTCCATTTAAATGCTTTTACAAACATTAAGCTATTGATTTAAGATTTCTGTGCTTTTTAAATTAAGTAATGCTACTGTTAGCTTTCCACAGCAATTCAGGGTTATAAAAAAGGGAAGAAAATAATTATTTTATACCAATAGTAGGAAAAAGAGACTGGGGATGACTATATTAATAGCAGACAAAATAGACTTAAAAAGTTACAAGAGACAATAAGACATTATATAATCATAGAACGTGCATTTGGCAAGAAGATAGAAATAGTTTAAACACTTACATACCTAATAATAAAACATTTAGATATAGAAAGACTAAGTTGACAGAATTAAAGGGACAAATAGACAGTTCTAAAATAATAGTTGAAGATGTTAATACTCCACTCTGAGTAATGAATAGAAAAATGAGATGAATGACAAATTAGGAAATAGAGGACTTGACTAACTCAATGAACTAAATTGATCTAACAGATATATACAATATACTCCATCCAACAAAACAGAGTACACACTCTTCTCAAATGCACATGGGGAATTCTCCAGGATGGGCTGTATAGTAGATCTCAAATTAAATCAATAACAGATGAAATGCTAGAAAGTTTACAAAATTGTATAAATTAAACAACTACACAATTACAACTTAAAGAATTACAAAATTGTATAAATTAAGTAAAGGAAGAAATCACGGAAGAAGTAGGAACATACAGAGGAAGAAAAATGAAAACAAAACATATCAAAAGTTATGGGAAACAGCAAAAACAGTGTTAAGATGAAAAGTTTGCAGCTAAGATACATTTAAAAAGAGCAAAGATTTCAAATAAATAATAACTTTATCACCTAGTAAATTAGAAAAATAACACCAAATTAGATACAAAGCAAAGAGAAAGAAGAAAGTATTGAAGATTTTAGCAGAGATAAATGCAATAGAGATTACACAAACAACAGAATTCCAAAAAACCAAAAGTTCACTCTCAGTTCTTCAAAAAATTAACAATTGGCAAAACTTCAGCTACACACACGAAAAATTAACAGCATATTCACATACTAAAATGAGTAATGAAAGTGGGACATTACTACTAATTCAAAGAAATAAAATGTTTAAAAAAGTGTACTGTGAACTATGATAGGATGATAAATTGGAAAACCTAGATAAAGTGGGCAGATTCCTACTTATGCAAGACTTGATTACAAAGAAATACAAAATCTGAATAGATAGAAAACTACTAAGGAAATGGAATCAGTAATTAAAAACCTCTCATGAAGAAAAGCCCTTGTTTTGTTGGCTTCACTGGTGATGTAGATCAAGCATTTATAGAACAAAAATCCTTTCCAAAATCTACCAAAATCCTGAAGAGAGCAGTTCCAAACTTATTCCATGATGCCAGCATTAGCTCATACCAAAGCCAGACAAAGAGACTACAAAAACCCATAGACTAATATCCCTTATGAACACGGATGCAAAACTACTCAGCAACATCCTAGCTAACCACATTCAGCAGCATACTAGCAAGATTACACCCCATGACCAAGGGGAATTTATTACTGGAATGTAAGGAAGATTTAGCGTATGGCTGGTTTCAGTGCAATGGTGTTTACAACTAATTGATCACAACCAGAATAGATTTCTTTATTCTTTTTCCAGTCTCACTGGTTCACTTAGCTAGCCTTTCTTAACAAAAGTTTTAGCATATGAAAAATAATCAATGCATATGACACATTAACAAAATTTTTAGAAAACATTATCTCATTAATACAGAAAATGTATTTTACAAAATTCAAAATATTTTATAATAAAAACAATAAATTACGAATAAAAGAAAACCATCTTTGTAAAATTCACGTATAAAAACCCACAGCAAACTACATGTTCTAGAGGAAAAGACCAAAATTATTTCGTCTAAGCTCAGAAGACAGAATGTCTGCTCTTGCCAGCCACTTTTATTCAACACTGTATTAGAAGTTTCATTCAGAGAAATTAAAAAAGACAATGAAATAAACTTCATCAAAGTGTGTACAGAAAATATATTCTTTTATGTAGAAAATCTTAAAGATTCCACACAAAAAATATTAAAATTAATAAATTCAGCAGAGTAGTAGCATACAAAATCAACATAGAAAAATAAACTGTATTTTATGTAGTAATACGAATAATCTGAGAAGAAAATTATGAAAACAACTCAATTTACAATAGCATCAAAAGAATAAAATTAGGAAGTAACCAAGAAGCAAAATGCCAATTATTTTGTGTAGATATTAAAAAATCAATTTTTAAGTTTATGAGGAATCTCAAGGGACCCTAAATTGCAAAAATAATTTTGAAAAAAAAATACCAAAGTTAGAGAAGTCACACTTAATGATTTCAAAACTTACTACAAAATTCCAAAATAGCATGCTACAAATAGACTAATGGAGTAATATAGAAAGCCAATATAAATAAACCCTCATATATATGGTCAAATGATTTTTATGGGAAATGAACTGCCTTTACAACAGTTAGTGCTGGGGAAATTGGGTACCTACATGTAAAAGAGTGAAACTGTTCCCTTAACTTATACCATAAGAAAAAATTAACTAACTCGACAAAAACCTAAATGTAAGAGCTAAAACTACAAAATTCTTAGTATAAAATGTAGGTAAAACATGTCATAACGCTGGATTTCGCAGTGATTTTTTTTAACAGGACACAAAAAATGCAAGAAACAAAAGAAAAATAAAGAGGACTCTATCCAGAATATACAAAGAACAATTCAGCAATAATAAAACAAAATACTTGTTTAAAATATGGGCAAAATACTTAAACAGACATTTCTTTAAAAATTATGTGAAATGGCTAATAAGTCCATGAAAAGGTGCTCAACAAAACTAATCATTAGTAAAATGCAAATATAACTCCAAATGATATATCACTTAATACACATCAGCATAGTTACTACCAAAAGAAACAAAACAAAACAGAAAATCACAAGTGTTGGTGAGGACGTGGAGCAATTAGAACCCTTGTACACTGTTGTTGGAAATGTAAAATGTTGCAGCTGCTATAAAATAACAGTATAATAACTAAAAAATGTACACCAAAAGTCACCATATGATCCCACAATTTCACATCTGGGTATGTAGCAAAAGATGTGAAAGCAAAGACACAAAATAATACACGTACACCTAGGCTCATGGCAGCATTACTCACATCACCCAAAAGGTTTGTGAATTACCCGTGTTGTTTGAATTATCATCAATGAATAAATAAATAAAATGTGATTTATACATATATTGGAACGTTATTCAGTTATGTAAAATAAGAAAATTCTGACACATGGTACGTTATGCATGAACCTTAAGGACATTGTGCAAAGTGACATAAGCCAGTCATAAAAGGACAAATACTGTATCATTCCACTTATGAGATACTTAGAGTAGTTAAATTCTAGAAATCCAAGTAGAAGAGTGGTTCCTAGGAGCTGGAGGGGGAGTAACAGGGAGCTGTTATTTAATGTGCATTAAATTTTGGTTTTGGAAGTTGAAAGAAGGTCCCTATGAATGAGAATAATAGTTGCAAAACAATGTGAGTGTAGTTAATTTTTCTGAGCTGCACACTTAAAATAGCTAAAATGGTTAATTTTATGTATACTTTGCCACAATATAAAAAATATTTTTTAAATAAACAAACTATAGCTATCTGCAATAGGATGAATTAATATCATAAATATAAAGTTGCATAGAAGAAAGTAGATGTAAAAGTATACATGTTGTACAATTTCACTTATATAAAATCCAGAAAGTGAACACAACTGAGGTTCTGGCTTCCAGTAATAATGAAGTAGAGTAGATTGTTCAATAACTGTTTCACATATACTATAATAAAGTTTAATAAAATACTATATTTTGCTATATAGAAACGCACACTGTTTAGAAGAACTGAATGAAGATTTTAGTATTGCCACTGTAGAAGAGATAAGGATTGGGGTTTGCATCTATTCAAATTAACTCCCTCATAAAATAATAATTTTCAAAGAAATACAACAGAAGCCAGAGTCCCTGTAATTCCTATCACACAATTTAAAAATTTATGAGATGCGTGAAGAAGGATGAAAATGTAATCGATTCACAAGATAAAAAGCAGACAATAGAACCTATTCTCAAGATGTGCAAGATGCTGTAATCGGTAGGTAAGATTTGAAAGAAGCTATGGTAAGTATGTTCATGGGGTTAAAGGAAAACAGTCTCATGACAAGTGAACAGATGTGTAACTGTGCACTCCCAGTCCTTTGGTCACAGGGCTGCAGGACTAAGGAAGGAAATTAAAGAAAAATGAAATTAAAAGGAAAGAGAAATAAGTTTTCTTGTATTAGGCTGATTTGTCCCAGAGGCAGCAATAGGCACAGCCCAGACCCAGGAAAATTCTTGATAATATTATGTAATGTGCTCTGGAGGTTCTCCCAACACTCCCCCAACACAGGGAAAAGAAAAACAAATTCCCTTTGTTTTATGGAATGAGTTTATAGATTCTTGTTCTCTGTAACTAGTGACTTCAAGTATTGTGTTTTATCGAAGAAGTACAATGAAAGTCATGAGAAGCCTGAGTAGGCTGAACTACAGCTGTTTGGGCACCATAGTGAGGGTTATAGGATAAGCCCATGCCCAGGGAAACCTAGATAATGGACATGTGGGTTGCTTGGCAACGGTCATGTGCAATCCTGTCTTTGTCCTGCCTCTGTATTCCTGCTTTCACGCCACTGTAAGCTCGCTTCAAGCTAGCCCACCCCCTTTTGTGAAGTGTGTATAAAAGTCAGGTGTTGTCTGTGTTCCGGGCCCGGTCTTTTTGACGTGAGTCAGCTGGTCCTGAGTGCACTCAATAAAGATTCTCCTGTTTCAACCTGAGGTCTGTCTCGTCCTCCTGAATCCCGCAACAGGAGAATTCCAGTATGCACCATGTTCAGGGAACAGTGCGCGTCACTGAAGGAAAAGTGGGGCGGGAGGGGGTGGTGCATGGCTGTGAGAGCCTCTTGGGCTTGCTGGGAGATGTAGTCTTATAAAGACTCCCAGCCCCTTTGTCACAGGGCTGCAGCACCACAATCCCAGCATACAACGGAATCAGGGACAGTGCGCGTCGCTAGAAGAAGAGGTAGAGCTGTGCATAACTCGCTGGGCTTGCTGGAAAATGTAATCTCATGAACACTCCTTAGTGAACAGTGAGCGTCACTGGAGGAAAAGGCGGGGCTGTGCAGGCCTTGCTTTAGTTGCTGAGAGATGCGGTCTCATAAACACTCCCAGCCCTTTGGTCACAGGGCTGAAGGACTACATTTCCATCATGCACCGGGATCAGGGATAGTGCGTGTGCCTGGATGAAGAGGCAAAGCTTTGTGTGCCTCCTTTGGCTTGCTGGGAGATGTAGTTTCATAAAGTCACCAGACCTTTCATTACAGGGCCGCAGAACTACAATCCCAGTATGCACCAAGATCAAGGATAGTGCGCGTTACTGGAGGATGAGGAGGGATTGTACACGTCTCGCTGGGCTTGGTGGGATATGTATTCTCATAAATACTCCCAAACCTTTGGTCACAGGGCTGCAGGACTACACTCCCAGCCAGCACCGGGTTCAAGGAAATTGCGCGTCACTGGAGGAAGAGGCGGGGTTGTTTGTTACTCGCTGGGCTTGCTGGGAGATGTATTCTCATAAATCCTCGCAGCCCTATCGTCACAGGGCTGAAGGACTACACTTCCAGCCCCAGCATGCACTGGGCTCAGGGACAGCACACGTCACTGGAGGAAGAGGGAGGGCTGTGCGCTTCTCACTCTGCTTTTTTGGGAGATGTAGTCTCATTAACACTCCTAGCCCTTTGGTCATAGATCGCCAAGGACTGCAATCCCAGCATGCACCCAGCTCAGGGACAGTGCGCTAGTCACTGCAGGAAGAGGCAGGGCTGTGTGCACCTCCTGGGAGTACTGGGAGATGTATTCTCATAAACACTCCCAGCTCTTTGCTCACAGGGCTGCAGGAATACATTCCTAGTATGCACCCAGCTCAGTGACAGTGCGCTAGTCTAAGGAGAAAGAGGCCGGGCAGTGTGCGCCTTGCTGGGTTTCCTGAGAGTTGTAGTCTCATGGCCTCTCCCTGTCCTTTGGTCACGGTGCTATAAGACTACAATCCCAGCATGCTTGGGGCTCACGGACAGTCTACATCACTGGAGAATGAGGGGAAGGTTGTGTGCACCTCGCTGCACTTGCTAGGAAATGTAGTTTCATAAAGACTCTGAGACCTTTTGTCACGGGACTGCAGGACTCCAATCCCAGAATGCATCAGGATCAAAAACAGCATGCGTCACTGGGAAAAGATGTGGGGCTGTGTGCGTCTCCCTAGGTTTTCTCGGAGATGTAGTCTCGTGTCCTCTCCCTACCCTTGGCTCACAGTGCTATAAGACTACAATCCCAGCATGCTTGGGGCTCACGGACATTCCCCTTCACTGGATAAGGATGGGAAGGTTCTGCGCACCTCGCTGCGCTTCTTGGGAAATGTAGTTTCATAAAGCCTCTCAGACCTTTTGTCATAGGGCTGCAGGACTACAATCCCAGTATGTATCAGGATCAAAAACAGTATGCGTCACTGGGAAAAGATGTGGGGCTGTGTGCCTCTCCCTACGTTTTCTGGGAGATGTAGTCTCATAAACACTCTTGGCCCTTTGGTCACAGGGCTGCAGGACTACAATCCCAGCATGCAGCGAGTTCAGGGACTGTGTGTGTGTGTGTGTGTGTGTGTGTGTGTGTGTGTGTGTGTCCCTGGAGGAAGACGTGGAGCTGTGCGTGCCTCGCTGGGCTTGCTGGGAGATGCATTCTGATAACCAATCCCAGCCCTTTCATCACATAGCTGTAGGACTACAATTCCAGCATGCACGGGGCACCGGGACAGTTCGCCTCAATGGAGGAAGAGAAAGGGGTACATGCGTCTCGCTGGGCTTTCTGGGAGATGTAGTCTCATTATTTCTCCCAGCCCTTTTGTCACAGGGCTTCAGGACTACAATCCCAGCATGCACCGTGCTCAGGGAGAGCGCGCCTCAGTGGAGGAAGAAGTGGACCTGTGCTCTTCTCGCTATGCTTTTTCGGAGATGTATTCTCACACACTCTTAGCCCTTTGGTCACTGGGCTGCCCTTTGGTCACAGGGCTGCAGCACTACAATCCTAGCATGCATGGGACTGAGGGAGCATGCGCTAATCAGTGGAGGAAGGGGCGAGGCTCTGCACGCCTCTCTGGGCTTGGTGGAAGATGCAGTCTCATAAACACTCACAGCCCTTTTGTCACAGGGCTGCAGCGCTACAATCCTAGCATGCACCGGGCTCAGGGAAAGTTGGCGTCACTGGAGAAAGAGGCAGGGTTGTGTGCACCTCCTGGGCTTGGTAGGAGATGTAGTCTCATAAACACTCCCAGACCTTTCATCACCGGGCTGCAGGACTACAATCCCAGCATGCACCCAGCTCAGGGACAGTGCGCATTACTGGAGGAAAAGGCTAGGCTGTGGACCCCTCCTTCTGCTTCCTGGGAGAGGTAGTTTCATGGAGACTCCCAGAACTTTCATCACAGGGATGCAGGACTACCATCCCAGTATGCACTGGGGTCAGGGACAGTCCGCGTCAGTGGAAAAAGAGGCGGGGCTGTGTGCGTCTTCCTAGGCTTGCTGGGAGATATATGCTCATAAACACTCCCAGCCCTTTGGTCGCAGAGCTTCAGGACTACAATCTTAGCATGCACCTGTCTCAGGGACAATGCGTATCACTGGGGGAAGAGGCGGGGCTGTGTGCTCCTCCCTAGGATTGCTGGGAGTTGTATTCTCATAAACACTCCCAGCCCTTTGGTCAAATGGCTACAGGACTACAATCCCAGCATGCGCCAGTCTCCGGGGTAAGGCATAGCCCTGGAAGAAGGGGCAAAGTTGTACATGCCCCACCTAATATGCTGGGAGCTGTAGTCCGTTAACTGCTCTCAGCCTATTTGTCGGTGGGCTTCAGAACCATAATCTCAGCATATACCGGGATCCGGGGTGCATAGACCTGGAGGGAGGGACAGAGCGGTGTGGACTTCCCAGTGTCCAAAGCATTGCTGAGTTCTTATGCTATGCCGACTCTTTGCCACAGAGAGTGAGTACAGAGGTGGACCTGGAGGACAGGTCTGGGCTGAGCATTGAGGAGGGTATTACCCTATGTAGGCACCTTACCTTTGCCCAAATCAGGCGGGTTATCCTCACCCGATTGGCCCTATGCTTCTCAGGTTCCTCTTTCAGCTGCACCCAGGGTTCCTTCCAGAGCATTGCACCTTCTGCAGCTCAGGGCACTGCCTTTTTTCCTAAACTACTGTGGAAACTGTCCTGATGTCTGAGACACTGTCCATTGTGCAGCAGCCCTCTTTTTTCTCTAGCCAGAGCGCGTGCTCAATGGCTTTTGAGAGAAATCTTCCACATGGCCTGCTTGTGAACAGCTTCAGAGCTCTGCAGGGGCTGACAAGGGCTGAGCCTTCCTGGAAACGTCACTCTCAATGGCGCCTTTTTCACGAATGTGAAAGTCGAGGCATCAGGAAGTTAGTTTAATGGGTTGCAGAAAATCTAAGAGCAAGGGAGAAAACCCGCTTTCCAAGGCGTGAGTTTTGTGAGCCATTTTCATCAACCCATTTAAGTGGACAAGCTCCAAAATGTAACCTGAAGCTGCTGACTATTTAGGCATTTTACAATTAAAATCATCGGTCTCATCCCAAGTCGTGCCTCACTTGCCAGTGTCTCAGAGACACAAATGGGACCTGATCCCTCAGGAACAGATAGTGTTCCAGGTTCGTGGGAGCGACTTTTAAGTTGTGGAGCACTTGGGGTCGTTTGAAACCCACTATCTTCAGTAGGGACTTTTACGTCTAGAGAGCATGTGCATTTTGATTTTATCTGTCTTCAAGCTGAACCTTTGCTCATTTTAACAAGTAAAAACACATTCCTGGGTGAAATGTCATTGCATGCTAATGAGACATGAAACATATGCAAAAATATGTACAGCTACTGCACATGTGCACCCAGAAGACCAGTCAAAGCATGCCTTCTATAACACTTCTTTCCACCTTCTTATGAATAATCATGTAAAACTCCCAGAAGGAGGGTTTCTCCAGCAACAATTAATGCTGTCTCACTCTTATGAGCAGGCTGCCCTGGAATCTCTTTCTCAGACTGTACCGTCTATTCTGCACTTGATTTTCAACGTATTCTTTTCTTTTTTGTGTGCAATAAATTACTCTATGCTGTACTTCTTTTGCTGCATGTTTCCTGTTTAAATTCTTTTAAGCTAAGAAGATAAGAACCAAGGTATTACATCAGCCATCAACATTTCTTTTGCCATGGCCCGGAGAGAGGTTTGTCTGCTTCATTAATTTCAGTTTCCCTTTTCTTGCAGTGAATACTATGGCACTTCCAGACTACCTGGTTAACTATCGCTGGTTGTTCCAGCGCTGTTTCACTAAAGTTCTGGGGGAAACGTGTTTAAATCACCTATATTCTCTAGAGAGAGAATATATGTCTGCTCTCCTTTTGGCTGCTGCATCTGTACTATCCATAAATGACACTCACCGCATGGGTTGCTCTCAACATTTCATATTCGGGCTAGTTTGCTGCTTAGTTTCACATCTTTCTGGCCACACTTCAGACTCAGCTTATCGTTTGCTGTCCCTTCGGCAATACTCGATCGCCACCTAGTGGCTATTGTACTTTATTTTCTGATCGGGTTTTCTGTTTACAGTTTTGTCTTGTTTTGTTTTGAGTGGAATATTAAGAGAACCCTGTCCCTTCAGGCTTTATGCATTTCCCACCTCCTTGAAATTGTTCTTCAACAGGTTTTCTTTGCTGAACAAACGACTCAAAGTCATGTAGATGCCCGGTCGTGGGGTTTGAATCTGAGCATTGCAGGTGTCATAATTCGGCATCATAAATTGCAAACCAGTAAATTAGGGAAAGGCTTGTCAGCCAGACATCTGCCCCCCAGCCAGCAGTGGGGGTCATCTCGGCACGGCTGGAGATGTGCAGCGCTTGTGAGAGATAGGACGGTGTATGGCACATGCCTATGACCTCCTAGAGCTTCAGTTAATGGGGTCTCGAGGGGCTGTGCTGGACACCTTGGTGGTTCCACTTGTCCCATTGTGATGCCCATGGCCTCCTGGACTTTAGTACATGTTCTGACGTTGCAAGATTCCGTCGGCACCATGGGAGCCGCTTCCTCTACTGTCATTGAAACACCCCTGGGATGTATATTTAAAAATTGAAACAGCTTTTGGCTAGATGAACCAAAAAAAAAAAAGAAAAGAAAAAACTTATCTTCTTTTGTAATACTATTTAGCTTGCATACAGATTAGCTCACAAAACATGGCTGGGGAATGAGACTGTGAACTTTAACACCCTCCTACAGCTAGATCTTTTCTGTAGAAATCAGGGAAAATGGTCTGAAATATCCTATGTGCAAACCTTTATGGCCTGACAACAAAACCCAGCTCTATGCAGCACCTGTGGGCTAAAGCCTAGTAAGCCACAAAGCCCCTCAGAAGCATTAGAAGATCATCTCTTATTAAGGGGAAGGGACCCCAGACCCAACAGCCCAACACCAGCTCCAGATAGGGACTCTCAAGGGCCTACACCTCCTGTAGAATCCGCAGCATCCCCACACTATCAGAGTCTTCTGTAGAATCTAAGCTTGTTTCACCTCCTCCTTATGCTCCTCTCTATCAGCCTTTGCCAGGTACAATAGTGAGCAGCCCAGCTGTAGTTACTCGCGGTGGAACTTCACACCATGCAGGGCCAGAGAATTTGATCCGCTTACAGAAAGTCCCAAATGGAGAGAGGACCATCAGAGTGCTTGTTCTCTTCTCAATAAATGATCTAATCCAATGCACGCAACAGCTCTGATGGCTCCCAAAGAACTTCAGCGCATTTACTGAAGCCTTCCAGGCTCTAACTTTGACCACCATTCAACTTCACCATCCATAAATGGACCCAATGACTGCTGACCACGTAGCTGCAGAAAACTTTTGCTTATTGGCAAAAAATAGAAAAGACTTAAAACTTTTGCTGCTTTCACCATTTCAATGCAGAATTCCTTTGCAGCACAAATGTCACCATAAGGTGGAGCCTTGGGAATCCAGTATAAACTATCTCAGAAAATCTCAGTGTGTCCCCAACAGGCAGCAGAGGGCCTCAATAGACTTCAACAACATCTGGACTCCATGGCCACTGTAGTCCGACAAAACCAAGGAGCCTGGGATCTTCTCCCAGCCGGGTAAAGAGGAACATGTTTATATCTAAAAGAAGAATGCTGTTTTTGAGATCAATCAGTCTGGTTTAGTCGAAGAAAATATTAATAATATCATCACCCAGGCAGACAAAATTGAATCTCTAGGAACTTCCATGGGAACATGAAAGCTATGTCCGTTGTCTGCCTTGCTCTCTTTAATAGTACCCGTCATTATTATATTTTCAACTTTTACTTTTGTTCCAATTTTGTTTAAAATGTTAACTGATTTCTTGCTCTCTTGCTTACGGCAACTCCATGTTTGCATGATGGTTTTGCAAGGCTTTCAACCTTTGGTTGCCAGCATCTTCCCACTGGTTCCACGAACGACATGGTTTACACCCTGTTAGATCACACAGGAAGAAACTTTAAGGCCCAGGCTAGGCAGAAGTAACACCCGCTCAGCAGGAAACAGCTCCAGAAATAATGGCCTAACCCCTCAACCTCCAATATGATTATTGCCCTAAAATCTCTTAGGGGGAAATTGAGGCAGAATAGATAGTACAGAAAATGACCATGATCTCAGGATACAGAAACCATGGTGACTGTACAGCCAACACAATAAGCCGTAGCATTCGCATTGTAATTGGGCTTATTCAAGCAAAGTTATCCTCATTAAGGACTTTCTGTTCTAGAAAGCATGTGCATTTTGATTTCACCTGTCCTCAAACTTAACTTTCGCTTATTTTAATAGCAAAAAATATAGGCCCTAGCCAGGCAAGGTGGCTCATAACTGTACTCCCAGCACTTTGGGAGGCTGAGGAAGATGGATCACTTCAAACCAGAAGCTTGAGACTAGACTGGCCAACATAGTGAAATCTCGTCTCAACTAAAAATACAAAAATTAGCAGGGTATGGTGGTGCATGCCTGTAATCCCAGATACTCTGGAGGCAGAGGCATGAGCATGGCTTGAACTCAGGAGGCGGAGGTTGCAGTGAGCAGAGATCACACCACTGCACTCCAGCCTGGGTAACACGGGGAGACTCTGTCTCAAACAAACAAACAAACAGAAATACACTCCTGGGTGGAGATCTAAGATGCTAACGAGACATGCAACATATGAACAAGCATGTATAGTCACTGCGTATGTGCACCCAGAATATCACTCAGAACATGCTTATAAGCAACTCCTCTTCCCTCCACCTTATTAATAATAATGTAAAACTCCCGTAAGGGGGTTTCTCCAGCGACAGTCCACGCTGTCTCACTCTTACGAGCAGCCCGCCCTGGAGTATCTCTCTCAGGGTGTACTGTAATCTGCACTTAACTTTCAAGTATTTTCTTTTCCAATAAATTATGCTGTACTTTTTTTCCTTGTGTCTCTTGTTTAAATTCTTAAAAACTAAGAAGACAAGAACAGAGGTATCACATCACTTGTCAACACAGCAATAAGTCAGCCTCCTTCTTGTAAGCATAGCCCATGCAGAAAAGGAGAGTCGCATCACCTAGGTGCTGGATCCAGAGATATGTCACAACTTATCCCAGGCACCAAGTTAAGGTCATTGAAGATAGTCGTGTTAAATAGTTTCTGGCCCCAGGGATATGTCACAATGGCTCCTGTGAGCAGAGATCAGGCAGCATAATCACATAACCGGTGTGCTGGACACAGCGATAAGCCACTCTTTCATCTGTGGGCATGACCCGGGCAAGAAAGAAGAGCCACAGCATTTAGGTGCTTGCTGCAGAGGTACGTAACAATCTCTCTTATGGGCAAAACTCGGGTAAGAGAGGAGAGTCAAATCTCCAAGGTGATTCATGTAGAAATTTGTCACAAGAAACTTTTTAGGCAGGGCCCATGTTGGATCTTCTTATCTTCCAGAAGTTAGGTCCAGGGATACGTCAGAATACCCAAAATACACAGGGCTCAGTCAATAAAGGAGAGTCACATCACCCAGGTGCTTTGTCTAGACATATGTCACATCTCTTTTATGGGGAAAGCTCAGGTAAAAAAGGAAGGTCACATCAAATAGTTGATAGACCCAGAGATATGTCACTTTGCCTCCTGCTTGAAGTGTCTAGGCCAAAGACTCACATCACCTCAGTGTTAGGCCCGTGTTCATATATAAACATTCAACCAGAGTTGAAATGGTGGCCCACATCTAAACTCAGCTCATAGGCAAGGGAGGACTCTCCTATCCTGACCTAGTTAATTGTAATGATGTTGACTCTCATACCGGGCTTAATGCTACAAGTACGATCATGGGTCCCTACCATTAGGAAGGTGTCAAAGTTGATTACGACTCTCATGCATAGAGTATAGGGCCATTGGGTAGTACACAGAGCGTGCTAACTGGGCCGAGCACACAGGTGAGATTGTGACACTCATATGCACACCCAGCCAACAGTAACTATTGTCATCCTCTCACGGGAACACAGGTCAGTCTGCAGAGGAATTGAGACTCTCATGCACAAATCCAGTCTGGTGTTGAGAGGGTTATTCGTGAGCTTAGACCCAACATACAGGAGGTGTTGAATGTCATGCCTACAACTGAGACAGTTGTGGGATTGTTAATCTAATTCCTGGACCATTCTGCAGCTTTCATGGTGAAATTTGCCGGTGCCTAGCACCTGAGTGACTTGATGGTCTCACATGGACCCAGCCCACAGATGGGATATTAACATATTGCTGGATCCAGCACATTGAGGGTGTAACTCTATTCTCCTTCCTTGGCACTGCCCACAGTGAGCATTTTGACATATCGCTAGACCTTGCACCCGGAGATGTGAGTCTCCTCTTCTGCCTTGGCGCTGCCCTCAGGAAGCATTGTTATATATAGCTTGGCCTCGCATCCAGGTTATGTGACTCTCCGGCTTGTGCATTGCCCATATGGGACACTGTGTTATATTGCTGGGTCCACTACTCAGGCTATGTAACCCAACAGCCTGGGCCCTGCCTTACAGGGGCATTGTGACATATCTCTGTGCTCATCAGCCTGGTAATGTGATTCTCTTCTCCTGCCTGGTCCCTTTACACAGAAGGGATTGTGACACGTTGCTGGGCTTAGCACCAAGTTGATGATGTGAATCTTCTGCCTGGATCGAGTTCACAGAAGGCATCGTGACATACCTCTGGGTCCATCATCTATTTGATGCAACTCTCCTCTCTTACCTGAGCATTGCCCATAAGACAGATTGTGACATAACCCTGGGTCTAGCACCGGGATGATGTGACTCCTCTCCTTGCCTGGGGCATGCCCACAGAAGGAAGTGTGACTTATAACTGGGAACAGCACAGGGGTGATGTGATTCTTCTGCCTGGTCCCTACCTACAGGAGTCATTGTCAAATGCCTCTGGGCCCATCATCTAGACTATGTGACTCTCTACTTCTTCCTATGGCCGGCTCACATAAGGATTGTGACATATTACTTTGCCCAGTACCTACATCATGTGACTTTTCTCTCATATCTGGGCTCCGTCTTGGAGATGAATGTGACACATAGCTAGGCCTAGCCCCTAGGTTCTGTAACTTCTCTTTTTTCAAAATCCTACCCACCAGGGTCATTGAAACATCTCTCTGGGCACTTCACTTAGGTAATGTTATCCTGTTGCCTGGAGCCTCCCCTCTGGGGGGTATGGTGACATATTGCTGGACACAGTACCTATGTGATATTCTCTCCTTTCTTGCCTGGGCCTTGTATACATTGTGTATTATAATATATGGCTGGGTTCAATGACTAGGTGTTGCAACTCTCATGCATAGGTCCTACCCGCAGGGACATTATGACATTTCTTTAGCTCTGACTCTCCTCTTTTTCCTTAGCCCTGCCAAAAAGGGAGGTGGTGACATATAACTGGACCTAGCAACCAGCTAATATGAGTCTCCTCTTTTGCCTGCACCCAGCATATTTTAGGTGTTGTATCATATCCTTTGTCTCAACACCTGCAGGATGAAAGGCTCCTGCCTGAGCCCAGCCATCTGTCAAAATTGTCATTCTCCCACACGAACATGGAACATAAATGAGGTTCTGAAACTCACACCCAGAGGCAGTGAAAAGTTGGAAAATTGGCTCTAATAAGTGGATGTTGTCCTTAAGTGGGTTTGTGACTCCCTGACCAAGATCCAAAACACTTGTGAGGCTGTGAGTCCACTAAGATAACTCCGTTTTCAAAAGGGATTAAGGCTCTCATGGAAAAAACCCATTCCTCCATTGAGATTGTGACTTATGCACATAGATGCAACATACAGGAGGCGTTCACTCTCATATCCAGAACTGGCACTTATGAGGGATTGTTAATCTCATCCATGGACCTTCCTGCAGGTGTGATTCTGACGTACACCTCTAGCCAGCTCCTGAGTGATTTGACTTTTTTGCCTGGGTGTAGCCCACAGATGAGATTGTGATATATCCTTGAATCCAGCATCTAATTAATATGCTTCTAATCTCCTGTCTTGGCACTGCCCATAAAGGGTATCCTGACCTAACACTGGTCCTGGCACTTTGTTATATGACTGTGTCCTGTGCTTTGCCCACATGAGCCATTGTGACATATTGCTGGGTCCAACACCCAGGTGATGTAACTCTTGTCTAGACTTTACCTACATGGGGTCATTGTGACATATCTGTGCACTGTTCACCCAGGTGATGGGACTCTCTTGTCCTGTCTGGTGCCTGTTCACAGCTGGGATTCTTACACATCGCTGGGGACAGATTCTAACTAATGTGACTGTCTTTTTACTGAGGACTACCCACAGGAGGAATTGGAAATATCTATGGGCCTCTCACTTAAATGATGTGACTCTTTTCCTGGGCTCATTTCTCAGGGTTATTGTGACATATGGCTGACCTCAGCATGGAGGTGATGTGAGTTTCTTCTACTGCTAGGGCTCTGACCAAAGACAGATTACAATGTATCATCGGGCCCAGCACCTGGGTGATTTGACTCTCCCCTCTTGGCTGGGCCCTGCATATATTGTGTATTGTGACATATCACTGGGTCCAACACCTAGGTAATGTGACTTACCTGCATGGCCCATTTCCACCTGGGTATTATGACATATCTTTTTGTTCATCACTTAGGTGATGCAACTCTCCTCTTTGCCTTGGGCCCTGCATAATTTAGCTATTGTGTTGTATCACTGGGCCAATCGCCTAGACAATAGGAATCTTCTGCCAAGGCCCTGACTACTGGGGACCTTGTGACATAGCTCTGCATTTATCACCTAGAAAATGTGATTCCCCCATTTCTGCCTGAGCCCTGCTCACAAGAAAAACTGTAGCATATTTCTGGGCCCAGCAAACAGGTGATGTGTTTCTCCTGCCTGTGCCTTGCTCACAGGGAAAATTGTGACATATCGCTGGACCCAGAACCCAGGTGAGGTGACTCTGCTGCATGTGTCATGCTTTCAGGAGGGAACAAGAACATATCCCTGGCAGAATACCTAGGGATGTGACTTTCTTGCCTTGTCCCTGTCCTCAGGGGAGAATGTGACGTATCCCTGACAATGACCCAGGTGATGAGACCCTCCTGCTTGCTGACTACTCAAATGTGAGATTGTCACATATATTTTGGCCTAACATGTAGGTGTGATGATGACATTCATACCTTAAACCAACCAATAGGAGAGATACTTTGTCTCATATCCAGGCTTTACAAAATGTGCAAAATTATGGGTCTTCTCTTACTATGAAGGTCAGAGAAAATAAGCACTCTTGCATATCCTGTAAAGCACTCAGATGGTACAGTGTCATCACAGGGCCCAGAACACAGGTGAGATTGTGTTCTCTGTGTGCACACCCACCAATCATCAGAATTGTCATTCCTACACAGGAACAGAGGTGATTAGGGAGGTCTAAATCTCATACCTGAGTGCCGTCCACAGCTGGAATTGTAACTACCACATGTGAACATCCAGTCACAGTTGGGATAGTGACTTATTTCTGAACCCAGTTTACAGCCAAGTAAAGATCCTCTTATCTGAATCCAGCCAGCTGGAGAGATGTTGACTCTCATACCTGGGCTTATGGCCACAGGTATGATCATAGGTTCATATCAGCATGAAGACCTCAGAGTGGATTATGTTTAATGCATACTCTACAAAGCCCATAGGAGGTACATAGTGTCCTAACAGGGCCCAGCAAACAGGTGAGATTCTAACACTCATGCACACTCTGGTGACAATAAAAGTTATCCTCAAAAATGAGCACAACCGGCCGGGTGCGGTGGATCAGGCCTGTAATCGCAGCACTTTGGGAGGCCGAGGCGGGTGGATCACGAGGTCAGGAGATCAAGACCATCCTGGCCAACGTGGTGAAACCCCGCCTCTCTACTATTTATTTATTATTATTATTTTGAGACAGAATCTTGCTCTGTCACCCAGACTGGAGTGCAGTGGCACCATCTAGTCTTACTGTAACCTCCGCCTCCCAGGTTCAAACAATTCTCTTGTCTCAGCTTCCCGAGTAGCTGGGACTACAGGCTCATGTCACCATGCCCAGTTAATTTTTATATTTTTGGTAGAGACGGGGTTTCACCATATTGATTAGACTGGTGTCAAACTCCTGACTTCAAGTGATCCACCCACTTCGACCTCTCAAAGTTCTGGGATTACGGGCATGGAACACTGTGCCTGGCAACCCCATCTCTACTAAAAATACAAAAATTAGCTGGGCATGGTGGCATGTACCTGCAATCCCAGCTACTCAGGAAGCTGAGGCAGGAGAGTCGCTTGAACCCAGGAGGCAGAGGTTGCAGAGAACCGAGATCGTCCCACTGCACTCCAGCCTGGCAATAGAGTGAGACTCCATCTCAAGGGAGAAAAAAAAAAAAAAGAAAGCAAAGAAGAAAGAAAGAAAGAAAGAAAGACAGAAAGAAAGAAAGAGAGAAAGAAAGAAAAAGAGAAAGAAAGAAGGAAGGAAAAGAAAGGGAGAAAGAAAAGAAAAGAAAAGAAAGAAAGAAAGAAAGAAAGAAAGAAAGAAGGAAAGAAAGAAAGAAAGAAAGAAAGAGAAAGAAAAAAAAGAAAATTGACTCTCATATATGGATCTTGTCCACAGGTAGGTGGGTGACTCTCAAACCAAAATTCATTACATCTGTGAGACTGTAACTCTCCTAAGGGGACACGGTCAGCCAGAGAAGACACATTTATGAATCCAGTTCACTGTTGAGATTGAGACTGGTGTACTTAGGCCCAACATGCAAATTCTCATACCTGGAATCCGGACATGTGTGGAGTTGTTCATCTCATCCCTGTCGCTTTCTGCAGGTGGGATTGTGACATACATCTCTGCCCAGCTCCCGAGTATTTTAGCTCTGTTTCCTGTGCCCAGCTCACAGATGGGATTCTGATATATCACTGAAGCCAGCACCTAGGTTATGTGACTCTTACCTCCTGCCTTGGTGCTGCCCACAGGGGACATTGGGACATATCACTTGGCCTTGCACCTAGGTAATGTAAGTTTTCTGTCTTGCATTAGTGCTACTCACCGGGGCGTTGTGATGTATTGCTGGGTCTCACATCCATGTTATGTGACTCTTCTGCCGGTGCCCAGGCCACAATGGCCATTGTGACATACTGTTGCATACAAAACCTAGATGATCTACCTCTCCTTCCTGAGCTTTGCCTAAGGGGACATTGTGAAATATCTATGAGCCCATCACCCATGTGGTGTGATTTTCTTCTCCTGCCTAGTCCCTGCTTAAAGAAAGGATTGTGACATATCACTGTGCCCAGCACCTACCTCATGTTACTCTTCTTTTGTTTTTTAGGATTTGTTTGGAAGGAGATTGTGATACATTGGTGGGTCCAACTTCGAGGTGACATTACTCTGTTGACTTTGCCCTGCAAGCAGAAAGCACTGTGACACATTATTAGGCCCATCTCCTGCCTGAAGCCTGCCTACAGCAATTTGTAACATATGGCATTGGGACATATCTCTGAGCCCATCAACTATTTGATAAAACTCTTCTTTTTTAACAAAGGCTTTGCCTATAGGAGAGATTGTGACTAATTCTGAGCTCAGAAAATAGGTGATGTTTCTTTAGTTTTTCTGCTTGAGCCCCACATTGTGATGTATTTCTGGTCCCAACAACTGAGGGAAGGGAATCTCCTGTCTGGGTCTTGCCTACAGGGAGACTTGTGAAATATTTCCGCGTTCATCACCTTAAATATGTGACCCTCATCTTCTGCGTGGCCATGTTTACAGAAGGGAGAATGGGTTATTCCTAGACCCAGCACACAGATCATGTGATTCTGCATCCTGGTCTCTTCAGAGGGTTCATTTTGACATATCTCCAGACTCATCAACTAGATGATGTGACGGTCCTCTTCTCCCTGAAACCTATCCATAGTGGAGATTGTGAAATACAGCCTGGCACAGCACCTACATGATGGTGCTCTCTTCTCATGCCTGGGTGCTGCCCACAGGGGTCATTGTGACATAGCTGGGTACAGTCTTCAGGTGATGTAACTCTCCTCTATTTTGGGGTGCACACACACAGGGCATTACCATATAGCTCTGCTCCTCAGACCTAGGTGATGTGACTCTCCTGTCTGTTACCTCCTCTTAGGGGGTATTGTGATATATTGCTGGGCCCAGAACCGAGGTGATGTGGCCTTTTCTCTTGCCTGGGCCCTGCATACATGGTGTACAGTAACATATATCTGGGTTGAACACATAGGTGATGTGACTCTTCTGCATAGGTCTTGCCAACAGGGGTATTATGACATACCTTTCTATTCATTGCCTAGGCTATGTGACTCTCCACTCTTATCTGGGCCCTTCCAAAAGAGGGGATTGTGACATATCAGTGACCCTACTACCAAGGTGATGTGACTGTTCTCTTTTGCCTGGGTTTGCATATTTTGGGTATTGTGACATATCCCCGGGCCCAACACTTAGGGGATAAAAGGCTTATTCCTCTACCTTATGCACAGAGAAACTTGTGACGTTTTTCTGCATTCATCACCAAGGAGATGTGACTCTCCTACCTGCATCCTGACCACAGAGAGGATTGTAACATATTGCTAGATCCAGCACCCAGGTGATGTGACTCTGCTGCCTGGTTCCTAATTTAAGGAGTGGATTGCTACATACCCATGCCTGAGCATTCAGGTAATGTGTCTCTGTTCTCTGGTCCCTGTTCTCAGGGAAGCGACATATCCCTGGCCCAGCGTCCAACTGATTTTACTCTCCTTCTCTCTTCCTATATGAAGGTGTAATTGTGACTTATATCTTGGAACACAACACACAGGTGCAATGATGACTTTCATATGTCACACCAGCCAATAGGAGAGATCCTGCTTCTCCTACCGACACTTAGGGAAATGAAAAAAAAAAAATCCCTGGGTCTCCTCGTTAAGATCATCCACTCTCTCACATATTACAGAAAGCCCTCGGGTGGTAGAGAGTCTTATCACAGGGCCCAGCACACAGGTGAAATTTGTTACTCCTATGCGCACCCTGCACCCTCCTGGCCATTATGATTTTCACCCTCACATATAAACAGAACCCACTTGTGGGGTCCTGAATTTCACACATGAATGCAGTTTATAGTTGGAATTGCAAATCTCATATGTAAAGATCTGGCCACAGTTGGAATGGGAACTTCGTTATAAACCCACCGCATAGAAAGGTGATGATTCTCTTATCTGGACCCCGCCAATTGTAAAGATGTTGACTCATATATAGGCTTAGGGCCACAGGTTTGATCCTGGGTCCATACCAGCATGAAAATCTCTGAAAGAATTGAGACTGTCATGCATACCATATAAAGCCCTCAGGTGCAACACAGAAACTCCTAATAGGGCTCAGCACACAGTAATATAATGACATTGGGATGCACACCCAGCCAACATTAAAGATTGTCATTCTTTCACATGATCATAGTTCACTTTTGAGGCTCTGAATCCCATACCCAAAGGCAGTTTCAAAAGTTGAAAAACTGAGCCTTTTTTATGTGTCTTTTGGCTGTATACATATCTTCTTTTGAGAACTGTCTGTTCATATCCTCGCCCACTTGTTGATGGGTTTGTTTGCTTTTTTCTTATAAACTTGTTTGAGTTCTTTGTAGATTCTGGGTATTAGCCCTTTGTCAGATGAGTAGATTGAAAAAATTTTCTACCATTCTGTAGGTTGCCTGTTCACTCTGATGGTAGTTTCTTTTTCTGTGCAGAAGCTCTTTAGTTTAATTAGATACCATTTGTCAATTGTGGCTTTTGTCGCCATTGCTTTTGGTGTTTTAGACATGAAGTCCTTGCCCATGCCTATGTTCTGAATGGTATTGCCTAGGTTTTCTTCTAGGGTTTTTATGGTTTTAGGTCTAACATTTAAGTCTTTAATCCATCTTGAATTAATTTTTGTGTAACGTGTAAGGAAGGGATCCATTTTCAGCTTTCTACATATGGCTAGCCAGTTTTCCCAGCACCATTTATTAAATAGGGAATCCTTTCCCCATTTCTTGTTTTAGTCAGGTTTGTCAAAGATCAGATAGTTGCAGATGTGTGGCACTATTTCTGAGGGCTCTGTTCTGCTCCATTTGGTACCAGTACCACGTACTCTGATTTGGTACCAGTACCATGATGTGCTGCTATAAAGACACATGCACACGTGTGTTCATTGTGGCATTATTCACAATAGCAAAGACTTGGAACCAACCCAAATGTCCAATAATCATAGATTGGATTAAGAAAATGTGGCACATATACACCATGGAATACTATGCAACCATAAAAAATGATGAGTTCATGTCCTTTGTAAGGACATGGATGAAGCTGGAAATCATCATTCTCAGCAAACTATCGCAAGAACAAAAAACCAAACATGGCATGTTCTCACTCCTAGGTGGGAACTGAACAATGAGAACACTTGGACACGGGAAGGAGAACATCACACACCGGGGCCTGTTGTGGGATGGGGGAGGGGGAAGGGATAACATTAGGAGATATACCTAATGTAAATGAGGAGATAATAGGAGCAGCACAGCAACATGGCACATGTATACATATGTAACAAACCTGCACGTTATGCACATGTACCCTAAAACTTAAAGTACAATAAAAAAAGTTGAAAAACTGACTCTCATATGTGAGAGTCACAGATATGTTGATGACTCTCATATCATGAGTCGGCACACCTGTGAAGCCGTGATTTCAATTAGGGGAGAAAGTCTGCAAGAGAAAATGGGGCTGCCATGCACAAATTTAGTCCACTATTGAGATAGTGACTTGTGTACTTAGATCAAACATACAGAAGGTGTTCACTCTCATGCGTAAAACCAGAATATGTGCGGGATTCATCCCATGTCTAGAACTTCCTGCAGGTGTCATTGTGACAAACATACACATTTGTCCAGCACCTGAGTGAGTAGACTCTCCTGTTTAAGCCCAGCTCACAAATAAAATTGGGACATATCATTGGACCTAGAACGTAGGTGATGTGGCTCTATTCTCTCGACTTGTGCTGCCCACAGGGAGCATTGTAACATATCACTGAACTTAACACCTAGGAGATTGGGGGCTCCTGCCTGAACTCTGCCCACAGGGAGGCAGAGCATATTTCTGCCTTGTAGCATATTTCTGCCTCCATCACCAGATGATGTGACTCTCCTTTCTGCCTGCACCTTGCCCACAGGAAAAATTCTGACATATCACTGGGCCTAGTAATCAGTAATCAGGTGATGTGTCTCTCCTGCCATGGCTTTACCCACAGGGAGTGTGGTGACATATCACTGAGCTCAATATTCAGGTGATTTGACTCTGCTGCTTGTACTCTGATTTCAGGAGGGGATTGTAACATATCCCAGGTGAGCACACAAGTGATGGGACTCCCTTCCTAGCCTCCGACCTCATAAAAGATTGTTACATATCCCTGGCCCAGCCTTAGGTATGTGACTCTCCTACCTGGTCCCTGCGACTCTCCTGCTCACTCCCTACCCACAGGAGAGATTGAAACATATATCTTGGCCAGCTCACAGGTGTAATAATGACTCTCATACCTCAAACCTGCCACTAAGAGAAATGCTGTTTTTCCTAGTGAGGCTTTGGAAAATCAGTAGGTCCTAAATCTTCTCTTTGTATGAGGGTCTTAGAGGAATACCACTCTCTCTTATATTATATAAAGCCCTTAAATGGTACAAAGAGTGTTACCACAGGGATATGTTGCATAACCTAGGGGAGGGGTCCAGTTATATGTCACAATTAGCCCAGGGGGCAGGGCACAGGCATGAGAAGAATCTCACCACATATGTGCTGGCCTAAGTGATACATCATCATCCCCACTGTGGACAGGTCGCAGTAAGAACAGGAGAGTCACATCATTCTTATAATGGTCTCAGATATACATCACAATGACTCCCCTGGGCAGAAAGAAGGGATAAGAGTCACATCACCTGTGGGCTAGGCCCAGAGATGTCACTCTTACTTCTGTGGGCATGTCTCAGGCTGGAGAGGAGAATCACATTACCTAAGCACTGGACCAAGAAATACGTCACAGTCTTTCTCATGGGCAAAGTCCAGGTAAGAGAATAGAGCCACATCAAATAGTTCATGGGCTCAGAGATATGTCACTATGCTCCCTGTGGGCAGGGTTCAGGTAGGACCCTTACATTACCTTGGTGCTGGTTCAGCAATATGTCCCAATGCCTTCTAAGGACAGAACAAAGACAAAAGAGTAAAATCATTTTGGTGTTTTACCCATCGATATGTCACAATCTTCCCCGTGGGCAGAACCTGAAAAAAGGGAAGAGTCATATTAGCTAAATGCTGCGCCTAGCGATAAGTCAAAATTCACCCTGTAAGCAGGGACTAGACAGAAGATAGAGTTACATCATCTGGTGGCTGGTGCAGGGATACGCCACCATGCCCTCTCTAGGCAGGATCCAGACAGGAGAGCTATGTTGCCTGTGTTTTGGACCCAAAAATATGTCACAAACGCCCATGGACAGAGCACAGGAAAGACAGGCACATAACCTGAATATCAGGTTCAGTGGTATGTCCCAATGCCTCCTGTGAGCATTCCAAGGCAGGAGAGGAGACTCACATTACCTGTGTGCAAGACCCAGTGATACGTCACACGGAGGAGTACCACTGTCTTGCATATTGTGTAAACTATGGTAGAGAAATTGTCACCAAAGGGCTCAGCACACTGGTGAGATTATACTTCTCAGATTCACACCACACCAATATTCAGGATGGTCTCTATCACATGTGGAGAGAGCCCACTCTTGAGGTCCTGAATTACACATGCAGACATAGTCCACAACTGGGATTCTGACTTTCATATGTGAACATCCAGCCACAGGTGGGATGGTGACTCATTTTTAAACGCAGCTCATAGGCAGTTAAGAACTCTTATTTGGACCCATCCAAGTAGAAAGATGTTGACTGTCATACCAGGGCTTAAAGCTAAAGGTACAAGGAGGGGTCCGTGCCTGCTTAAGGTTTCAGAGAGAATTGTTACACTCATGCATACTCTATAAAGGCTTCATATGGTGAAGAGAGTGTCCTGCTAGGGCCCAGAACAAAGGTGAGATTGTGATACTCATATGTACACTGAGCGAAGAGCAAAAATTGTCATCTTTTCACATGAACACAGCCCAATGTTAAGGTTCCGAATCTCACACCTGTTGATCTACCTGCTGATGGAATAGTCTGTCAAGAGAAAGCAGAGATGCACGAGCATCAATCTGGAAAACAGCAATAATGGTAGTGTGCACCAGGATTCAGATATCTTCCTAGTATTGTTTTCTCCAAACCTCTTTATTCGTAATTCACCATTTGTTTCATTGCCATTCGGGCAACTAGGTAGTAAGACCATTTTCTGCTAAGCAAGAGTAGGTATACAAGTAACAAATCCCTCTGGCCTCCTCCTGAATAGTTCAGAGAACAGATTCTAGTTCAGCCAGCTGGCTGCTAACACCCCTCCCTTCCTCAGAAATGCTTATGTTTTTAACAGGATTATAAGCCACGGCCTCCCAGCATCGGGTCCCATCAATATATTTGGTGGAATCATCAGCAAACCAAGCATGTCTCTGATCGTCTGGGCTTGTTTCTTTAAAGGATTTGCCCCATTGGGCAGGGGAGGTTTCCTTCCTTATCTGCAGGACTTGCTCAGTGGTTTGCTGAGCTGGCAAGTTTTGCACATCCTCATTTAAAAATGATACCTGTTTTGGTTCCGGCTTAGCCTGGTCTTGTATGTGCCATTTCCATTTACTTTCTTGAGTGTACCCTATCCAATGAGGTTTGAGGGAGTTCATGACCCAAGTCATATTAGGAATTTGGGGCCTCATAAAAACATCATGATTAAGACAAAGGTGTTCTGTTTCCTGTAAAGCCCAGTAGCAGGTCAACAGCTGCTTCTCAAAGAGTATAAGCTTTGCTAGCCTCTGACAGCTTCTGGGTCTAAAACCCCAAAGGTATCTCTTCCCATCTTGTTTCTACCTAAGGCTCCAATGAGCGTGTTGATCTAGGACAGTTACTTGCAGTTCTACTGGCCCATCCTGTAAGGGCCATACTGTTGCTCTGCTTGTTTGGCTGGTTGAAAAGCCACGCTCACTTTCTGTCTTCAGTGAAAGTCATAGCGTTTTCTAGTGACTGCATGCAGAGGTTGTAAAATGTTACCCAAATGGGGAATATGATGTCTCCAGAATCCAAACAAACCAATACAATTTTGGACCTCCTTTTCAGTGGTAGGGCTGCAAATTCTAGTATTTTAGCCTTAGCCTTTGGTAAAATGGACTGTTTCCCTGCATTCCATAGGATGCCAAGGAACTTTACAGTTTGTGGAGGTCCTTGAATTTTACTAGGGTTAACTTCCCATCCTTGAGATAGGATTTGGGTTTTTACCGGATCCAAGCCCCAGCTGACTAGTTCTTCAGTTTTACCCTGACTGGGCCACTCAGGCAGCTG
Organism: Homo sapiens; assembly: GCF_000001405.40. NCBI lineage: Eukaryota > Metazoa > Chordata > Mammalia > Primates > Hominidae > Homo > Homo sapiens. The sequence continues at coordinate 97,999 of NW_021160012.1, read as the reverse complement.
CTTTTTTCAGCAATAGGCTGATAACTTTGAGGCTGATCAGTCAAGACATAGGCCTGGCCATGGGCCAGGGCCAGCCTGGAAGTCAGATTAGCATTTTCTTTTCTGGCTTACATTTCTGTTGTAGCAGCTGATTCCTATCTTGACACATTAACTTATAAGCAGTAAGCAAGCACCATCCATGCCGGGAAATTCTCTCAGCATCCCATTTACCAACTGGGATTCCCTGCACCTCTTCACACACAGCCAATGATTCAAAATGCACTAACTTAGATTGCCTATTTTCACAAACGTCAGCTCCCTTGGACCACTGAATGGCCAAGGGGAAGAACTAAGGGAGTTCCCATCTGAAGATATGGAAAGTCCCCGAGCTCCCAGTCTGGTCCCTGCACCAAAAAATGGCATGCTTTTGCTTTCGGATCCTGTTCGTGAAGCCAAAAATGTTCTGCGCAGGAAATGCTCAAGGAGAGAAGGAAACACACACACACACACACACACACACACACACACACACACACAATACCTTTAAGGGTAAACAAACTGTATCCCACGTAAATGGCAATGCAGATATAATAAGCAAATGATATAATAAGCAAGTTGCAATGGGACGGAGAGAAGGGAAAAGAGATATATATATTTACACTCATCAGACTATGGAGGATTCACCACCAGACTGCGAAGCAACAGACTGGGCTCCAGAGTTGGCCACTTGTCCGTGAACAGATGAGAAGAGATCTCATGAAGTTTTGGCACAGTCTGGAACTCTAGCTCTTTTTGTAATGAGTTATCTGGCATGACGTCCAGTCAGGAGGGCCCTTCATTTCTGGGCTCAAGGAAAAGAAAAAGGTCAACTTGTTTTTTTGATTGTCTGTTGTTTTTCAGTAACTAACATATAGGAATAAATTGAAATAGAGATTTATCCGAAACAGCGCTGGATGAAAGCCTCAAGGGGCTCACACAACCTGTTCCAGGACTTGGTGACCATTGTTTGAGTCCAGATTCAATTGAGTTCAAATTTAATATTTAAATTTTACTCCACAAAGTGTCAAAAGTAATTCCTTCAAATGCAGGAAATTATGTAACTACTCACAAACTAAACTTCTCAACCAAAAGTCATAAATTGAGTATAGGAATTAAAAAAAAAAAGAAAGAAAATCTAACTACATCTGTCTAAAGGGACTCAATTTATTTATTTATTTATTTTAGAGACTTGGTATTGCTTTGTTTCCCAGGCTGGTCTCAAACTCCTGGTTTCACGTGATCCTCCCACCTCAATCTCCTAAAATGCTAGGATGACAGATATGAGCCATCTTACTCTATAGTAACAAAAACAGACTAAATGTGGCAAGATGCATCCAAAAAATTATGCAAATCATAACCAAATGAGGACAGACTATGTCACAATTATAGTATGCAAAATGCTTTTTAAATAACTGTCTTAGTTTATAAAATATATTATGAAATCAAATTGTCAGAAAAACAAAGGACAAAATAATAAAAGGGTTTATTCACTGGAAACCTATGACAATTATACACATTTACATAATTGTGTGTATATATCTAATTATGTATTCACACCAATATGTATGCACCTTACATGAGTATTTTTAAATATCTCAATAATATCTTGACAGAACATAAGCAAAAACGGCAATATATTAAAAGTATAATATTTTAATACACCAGTTCTGTAATTAATAAAAAAGCCAGATAGAATATTAAAAAGTAAACAGACGACATGAAAATACTGTAAAGCAATTAGATATAACAGATGCATACAGAACACTCTACACAAAAACAAAACTCACAATCTTCTCAAAAGCTCATGAAACATTCTCCTAAAAATAACTATGAAGCCAAAAAACAATTCTGAACAGAATTTTTGAAAAATTGAATGTTACAAAAAATTCAAAAAATCAATGAATATAGGAGTTATTTTTTTGAAAAGATCAACAAAATAGACTGCTAGCAAGACTAATAAAGAAAAGAGAGAAGAATCAAAGAGAAGCAATAAAAAATGATAAAGGGGCTATCACCCCTGATCCCATAGAAATACAAACTACCATCAGAGAATGTTATAAACACCTCTACGCAAATAAACTAGAAAATCTAGGAGAAATGGGTAAATTCCTGGACATATACATCCCCCACAAGACTAAACAAGGAAGAAGTTGAATCTCTGAATAGACCAATAACAGGTTCTGAAATTGAGGCAATAATTAATAGCCTACCAACCAAAACAAGTCGAGGACCAGACGGATTCACAGCTACATTCTACCAGAGGTACAAAGGGGAGCTGGTACCAACCCTTCTGAAACTATTCCAATCAATGGAAAAAGAGGGAATCCTCTCTAACTCATTTTATGAGACCAGCATCATCCTGATACCAAAGTCTGGCAAAGACACAACAAAAAGAGAAAATTTTAAGCCAATATTCCTCATGAACATCGATGCAAACATTCTCAATAAAATACTGGCAAACCGAATCAGGCAGCACTTCAAAAAGCTTAACCACCAAGATCAAGTGTGCTTAATCCCTGGGATGCAGGTTCAACATATGCATATCAGTAAACATAATCCATCACATAAACAGAACAAATGACGAAAACCACATGATTATCTCAATAGATGCAGAAAAGGCCTTCGAAAAAATTCAACAGCCTTTCATGCTAAAAAATGCTCAATAAACTAGATATTGACAGAATGTACCTCAAAATAATAGGAACTATTTATGACAAACTCACAACCAATATCATGCAGAATGGGCAAAAACTGGAAGCACTCCCTTTGAAAACCGGCACAAGACAAGAATGTCCTCTCTCATCACTCCTATTCCACATAGTGTTGGAAGTTATGGCCAGGGCAATCAGGCAAGAGAAAGAAATAAAGCATATTCAACTAGGAAAAGAGGAAGTCAAATTGTCCCTGTTTGCAGATGACATGATTGTATATTTAGAAAACTCCGTCGTCTCAGCCAAAAATCTCCTAAGCTGATAAGCAACTTCAGCAAAGTCTCAGGATACAAAATCAATGTGCAAAAATCACAAACATTCCTACAATACCATACAGAGAGTCAAATCCTGAGTGAACTCCCATTCACAATTGCTTCAAAGAGAATAAAATACCTAGGAATCCAACTTACAAGGGATGTGAAGGACCTCTTTAAGGAGAACTACAAACCACTGCTCAACGAAATAAAAGAGGACACAAACAAATGGAAGAACATTCCGTGCTCATGGAAAGGAAGAATCAATATTGTGAAAATGGCCATGCTGCCCAAGGTAATTTATGGATTCAATGTCATCCCCACCAAGCTACCATTGACTTTCTTCACAGAATTGGAAAAAACTACCTTGAAGTTCATATGGAACCAAAAAAGAGCCCGCATAGTCAAGACAATCCTAAGCAAAAAGAACAAAGTTGGAGGAATCGCGCTACCTGACTTCAATCTATAATACAAGGCTACAGCAAGGAAAGCAGCATGGTACTGGTACCAAAACAGATACATAGACCAATGGAACAGAACAGAGGCCTCAGAAATAACACCAAACATCTACAACCATCCGATCTTTGAAAAAAACTGACAAAAACAAGCAATGGGGAAAGGATTCCTTATTTAATAAATGGTGCTGGGAAAACTGGCTGGCCATATGCAGAAAACTGAAACTGGATCCCTTCCTTACACTGTATACAAAAATTAAGTGAAAATGGATTAAAGACTTAAATGTAAGACCTAAAACCATAAAAACTTACAAGAAAACCTAGGCAATACCATAGGCATGGACAAAGACTTCATGACTAAAACACCAAAAGCAATGGCAACAAAGCCAAAATTGACAAACGGGACCTACTTAAACTAAAGAGCTTCTTGTAAAGGGCCCGCTAGGCATACCCAAAGCGGGCAGAAGGCTCCTCAGGGGAAGGTAAGGTTTGAGGGAGTGCAGGTGAGGCACCTGTGGCAGAAAAAAAAAAAACGCAAAACAAAAAAAAAAAATTCGCCGCCAAGAAGCGTTCCTGGTTCCCCCACGGACGAAAGTGCCTTCCCATCAGTCCCTGCACTGGGCCTTGGATACTCTGGCGTCCCTGGTTCGAACCCAGGGAGCGACTCAGGCCCGCTAGGGGTACCCCAAAGCGGGCAGAAGGCCCCTGAGGGGAAGGTTAGGTTTGAGGAAAGGGAGGTGAGGCACCTGTGGATGAAAAAAAAAAAAAGAAAAAAACTCAGCGTCGAGACGCATTCCTGGGTCCCCCACGGAAGAAAGTGCCTTCCCATCAGTCCCTGCGCTGGGCCCCGGTGACCCTGGCGTCCCCGGTTCGAACCAAGGGTGCGTCTCGGGCCCGCTAGGGGTACCCCAAAGCGGGAAGAAGGTCCTTGAGGGGAAGTTAAGGTTTGAGGGAGGGGAGATGAGGCACCTGTGGCAGGAAAAAAAAAAACCGCGCCGCCAAGAAGCGGAGACTGGGTCCCCCAAGGACGAAAGTGCCTTCCCATCAGCCCCCGCGCATGGCCCCGTGAACCTGGCGTCCCTGGTTCGAACCCAGGGTGCGTCTCGGGCCCGCTAGGGGTACTCCAAAGCTAGCAGAAGGCCCTTGAGGGGAAGGTTAGGTTTGAGGGAGGGGAGGCACCTGTGGCAGGAAAAAAAAAACAAACCGAGCCGTCGAGAAGCCGAGACTGGGTCCCCCAGGGACGAATGTGCCTTCCCATCAGCCTCTGCTCTGGGTCCTGGGGACCCTGGCGTCACTGGTTGAACACAAGGAGCGTCTCGGGCCCACTAGGGATACCTCAAAGTGGGCAGAAAGCCCCTGCGGGGAAGGTAAGGTGTGAGGGAGAGGAGGTGAGTCACCTGTGGCACAAAAAAAAAAAAAAAAAACGCGCCACCGAGAAGCGTTCCTGGGTCCCCCACGGACGAAAGTTCCTTCCCATCAGCCCCTGTGCTGGACCGCGGGGACCCTGGCGTCCCTGCTTAGAACCCACGCAGCGTCTCGGGCCGGCTAGGGGTACACCAAAGCGGACAAAAGCCACTGAGGGGAAGGTAAGCTTTGAGGGAAGGGAGGTGAGGCACCCGTGGCAGGAAATAAAAAAAAAAAGCGCCCCGGAGAACCGGGGCCTGGGTCCCCCACGGACAAAAGTGCCTTCCCATCAGTCCCTGGGTTGGGCTCCGGTTACCATGGATCGCCGGTTCCAACTCAGGGCCCTCTCGGGCCCGCTAGGGGTACCACAAAGCGGGCAGAAGGCCCCTGAGGGGAAGTTAAGGTGTGAGGGAGGGGTGGTGAGGCAGCTGTAGCAGAAAAAAAAAGGAAAAAACAGCGCGCCTCCGAGTAGCGTTCCTGGGTCCTTCTCGGAAGAAAGTGCCTTCCCATCAGCCCCTGCGCATGGCCCCGGGACCCTGGTGTCCCTTCGAACCCAGGGAGAATCTCGGCCCGCTAGGGTTTCCCCAGTGCGGGCAGAAGGCCCCTGAGGGGAAGGTGGGGTTTGAGGGAGGGAAAGTGCAGCACCTGTGGCAGGAAAAAAAACAAAACAGAACTCGCCACCAGGAAGCGTTCCTGGGTCCTGCACGCACGAAAGTTCCTTCCCTTCAATCCCTGCGCTGGGACCCGGGGACCCTGGCGTTCCTGATTCCAACCCAGGGAGGGCCTCGGGCCAGCTAGGGGTATCGCAAAGTGGGCAGAAGGCCCCTGAGGGGAAGGTTAGGTTTGAGGGAGGGGATGTGAGGCACCTGTGGCAGGAAAAAAAAAAATCGCGCCGCCGAGAAGCGGGGCCTGGGTCCCCCATGCACGAAACTGCCTTCCCTTCAACCCCTGCTCTGGGTCCCAGGGAACCTGGCGCCCCTGATTCGAACCCATGGAGCTTCTCGGGCCCGCTAGGGGTACCCCAAAGCGGGCAGAAGGCCCCTGAGGTGAAGGTAAGATTTGAGGGAGGGGAGGTGAAGCACCTGTGTCAGGAAAAAAAAAAAAAAAAAATCAACCGCGCTGCCGAGAAGCGTTCCTAGGTCTTCCACGGACGAAAGTGCCTTCCCATCAGCCCCTGCACATGGCCCCGGACCCTGGTTCGAACCCAGGGAGCGTCTCGGTCCCGCTATGTGTACCCCAAAGCGGGCAGAAGGCCCCTGAGGGGAAGGTTAGGTTTGAGGGAGGGGAGGTGAGTCACATGTGGCAGGGAAAAAAAAGAAAAAAAAAGAAAAAAAAACCTCACAGCCGAGAAGCGGGGCCTGTGTCCCCCATGCACGAAAGTGCCTTCCCATCAGCCCTCGCTCACAGCCCCGGGACCGTAGCGTACCTGGTTCGAAACCAGGGTGCAAACAAAACTATTATCAGATTGAACAGGCAACCTACAGAATGGGAGAGAATTTTTGCAATCTACCCATCTGACAAAGGGCTAATATCAGGAATCTACAAATAGCTAAAACAAATTTACAAGAAAAAAAAACAACCCTATCAAAAAGTGGGGAAAGGATATAACAGACACTTTTCAAAGGAAGACATTTATGCAGCCAACAGACATATGAAAAATTGCTCATCATTGGTCATCAGAGAAATGCGAATCAAATCCACAATGAGATATCATCTCACGCCAGTTAGAATGGCGATCTTTAAAATTTCAGGAAACAACAGATGCTGGAGAGGATGTGGAAAAATAGAAACACTTTTACACTGTGGGTAGGAGTGTAAATTAGTTCAACCATTGTGGAAGACAGTGTGGTGATTCCTCAGGGATCTAGAACCAGAAATACCTTTTGACTCATCAATCCCATTACTGGGTATATACCCAAAGAGTTATAAATCATGCTACTATAAAGACACACACACACATATGTTTATTGCGGCATTATTCACAATAACAAAGTCTTGGAACCAACGCAAATGTCCATCAATGATAGATTGGATTAAGAAATTGTGGAGCATATACAGCATGGAATACTATGCAGCCATAAAAAGGATGGGTTCATGTCCTTTACAGGGACATGGATGAAGATGGAAACCATCATTCTCAGCAAACTATCACAAGGACTTCAAACCAAACACCGCATGTTCTCACTTATAGGTTGGAGTTGAACAATGAGAACACATGGACACAGGGCGGGGAACATCTCACATTGGGGCCTGTTTGGGGGTGACGGACTATGAAAGGAATAGCGTTAGGAGAAATACCTAATGTAAATGATGAGTTGATGGGAGCAGCAAACCAACATGGCACATGTATACCTGTGTAACAAACCTGCACGTTCTGCACATGTACCCTAGAACTTAAAGTATAATAAAAAAATTGAATGTTACATACTATAATTTCTGACCAAAAAGGATTAAAACTAGCAATCGATAACAGAAGAAAATTCATACAATTCACAAATATGTAAAAATTAAGCAATTTACTCTTGAACATGCTTTTGTTCAAGAGTTAGAAAACTTACTATTTTGAACATGTCTATAATGCCAAAAGTGACCTACAGATTTAATACAATCCCTATAAAATTCTTAATTTTATTTTTGACAGATACAGAAAATGTGACTCCCAAAAGTATATGGAATTTCAGGAGACCACAAAGAACTCTACAGTTTTCAAAAAGAGAAAAATTTTGGAAACATTACAGTTCCTGTTTTCAAAACCTGTTACAAATCTACAGTAATCTAAGTAGTTTGTTACTGGCATAAAGACAGACAAATAGACTAATAAAACCGAGTGCAAAAAAGATGTAAACGCTCACGTATTTATTGTAGCTTTACTTACAAAAATCAATAGGTTAAAGCAATCCATACTTCCCTCAACAAACAAATGAATGGGTACAATTTGGAATATAAAAACAATAGAATATTACCCAGCTTTTGAAAAGCAGAAAACCTTTTATCTATAATAAAAATAAAATCTTGATGACATTATGCTAAATAAAATAAGCCAGCTACAAGACAGATACTGAGTGTATCCACATGTATAAAATATCTAAAGTAGTAACATCCTTAGAAACAGAGAATAAGATAGCATTTGTAAAGGGCTGAACAAAGGAGAAGACAGGCAGTTGTTTCAGGTGTATTGAGTTTTAGTTTTGTAAGATAAAAATGTTCTAGAGATACGTCGAATAATGTCAATGTGCTGAAAAGTCTAAACTATATAATTATTGTCATTGTAAATTATTGTAAAATTGTAAATAATTGTCAATTTTATATGTTTCTTATAACAATGTAAACAATAATAATATCTAAGTGAGATACCGTTTTAATGCATTTCAATAATTATCTTCAGGACCTCGGCAAAACCTGAGTCCTGTCCTCTCGCTTTCCTCCCCGTACACAGCGAGCTTCACCACTTGCTCCGCACCTTCTCCATCAACTACTACCTGTCCCTGGGATCTGTCCAGTCGCCCAGCTAAAGTGCTCAGCAGGTCAGCAGCGCGGCGAGCTTCTATGAGGCGTGGGGTCTGGGGCTCCTGGATCTCTGTGTCCCATTTCACAGAGATTGCCACCTACTGCCGCCTGCTAGAAGATGGGGAGGACTTCAATCTTGGTGGTATTCTGGACAGCAGCAAATACCTGTAAAGCATCCAAAAGACCAACACCCACAGGATAGTGGACGGCAAAGTGGTGTCTGAGACCAACATCACAGACGTCTTGAGGTGCTAAACCAGCAGAAGCAAGGTCCCTTTGCGGAGCAGGAGGGCAATAAAAACTTCTGTGGTCAAAAAAAAAAAAAATTACCCTCGCATCACAGAGGTGTTTTCCTCACGCAAACGTAATATAGATTCATTAATACATAGATGTGGAAATTAGGGCAATTTCCACAACTACTCACCCAGAGAGGATTAAAAAAATAATTGACCACCCACTAATTAAATAAATACAGAAGTCATAAATAAAGCATGAGTAATGTTTATACAGTCAAACGAACAGAGAATTATGTTGGCAATACACATACGGTTGATTCATATTTGACTTTTTTTCTACACTCTTTTAAAGTGTACACAGTTAAATATAGTCATAAAAAATTATAACATATAAGCAGAAACTAAAAACACAATTAAATGATGTAAGACAGCCTATCCTAACAGGAAAATACAGGAATATAAAATATTACAAAACAAAATTGGATAAACATTAACCTGTGAAATACTGAATAAACAAATCATGCAACTGAAGAAGACTCTTTCTAGATAACTGAAATAATCAACCATAACTGGACACCCATAAAGAACAGATTTTGAATTATTAGCATATGGTTAGAGTAACAAAATTTCACAACAAATGCATTATAATCTTCTATAAAGAACATTTAGAAGAAAATTTTAATGAAGATTTCAATGATATTAGAGAACAGAGTCTCGCTCTGTTACCCAGGCTGGAGTGTAGTGGCGAGACCTCGGCTCACTGCATCCTCCACCTACCAGGCTGAAGCAATTCTCTGCCCCAGCCTCCCGAGTAGCTGGGATTATAGGCACCCGCCCCCATGCCCTGCTCATTCTTTTTGTGGTTTTAGTGGAGACGGGGTTTCACCATGTTGGCCAGGCTGGTCTTGAACCCCTGACATTGTGATCCACCCACCTCAGCCTCTTAAAGTACTGGGATTACAAGCGTGAGCCACCGCACTGGCCTATAATTTATTTTTTTTTTTAAGTAAAGAAAAGCTTTACATTTTTAAATATGGGAACAACATGAATATTGAAAAATATGCAATGAAACAATACTACATAATAAGCAATGAGAAATAAATTATACTATCATTCAGATAATGTTGAGGAAAGTTAATAGAAACACTAATGATAAGTTTTTCTATGCAGTAAACTTAGACACACAAACTGAAATTTTATTAATGTGAGGTGCATACTAAGTAATTCACTTTTTATATAACACATAAATTCAAGTATGCTATTCTGAAATCCCTGAAGCTAAAATTATAGGCTAATTTGGGATACATAAAAATCAAAAAGTGAAAACGTGCAGATCACAGTCCCACTAAGCTTTATATAAGATTAAATAATAAAATAACTCAATAAGAAATAATGTAACAATTAAGAATTTATTCTATTCTTGGCAGGTTTCTAAGTTTTTCTATGGCATTAAAGTCTTTAAAAATTCTTTGAGGTGAGTAGATACAATAAACTATTCCACAGGTGAGGTGCTTGGAATAGAGAGTTCACGTTTTTAAGTTAATTTCTACCAAGGAAAAGAAAACTTTTTGACCTACATTACCAGAGATTAAAAAAAGAGTAAAGTGAAATAGAAGCTTCACTATATCATATGTGCTGAGGTGTTTTGGGCTCTGATAAAAGTTTTTCCGATTTTTTTGCAGGATCACATTTGAAATCATAGGACTGAAAATTATGAAGCAGAAACATTTGTCCTTGGTGTTTCTGAAATATGTGAACCAAACCCCAATGCCTGCACTTTTACTCTCACAAACCTCTGACATGAGGCACAGATTTTTACAAAATAGCTTAATATAGAAGTCTCGCAAAATGTGCAGATTTCCCCAGATCCCCCAAAACAATGGAAAAGCACTCAGACCACAAGGCCTTCAAGGGAATAATAGAAAGAAGAGGCGAACTTTGGCTGTCACTGTGAAAGCCCTGGAATGTTAGTGGAGGGACAGGAGGAGCCTTAGAAGATTTAGGAGCATAATAAGCATAGCGTAGGAAATGTCCATCTGTGGCAGCAAAAGAAGTAAATCTAGGATTTTCCAGAACCAATTTCATTGAAGCGAACTTCCCACATCACATTTTTAAAGTTTCCTCCTTGGTCTTTGCACCTCTCATCTTTGTTATTTGTTCATTCTTGCCTATTGGGGTGATGCCTATTATTTTCTCTCTTTTTACATTCCAAAGATATTTCCTTTACTGTAGAACAGGGGCATCCAAGGGAGAATCTCACCACGACCCCAGGTATAGAGCGCCCGGAGTCCGCGATCCCTGGGAATGGAGGCGGCTTCGGCCTGGGGTCGTGGTGAGATTCGTTGGTGGCTGCGCGATTGTGGCGGAGTTGCAAGCAAACGGGTTTCATCACCTTAAATGGTTTTGAACCAAAGAAGCTGTATTCCCTTAAAAAGACGGACAACCCATCGTGTGAACTATAGAGTTTGTGAACAAATTTATATTGGGTTCATAGTGGCGTCATGCACGCAGACTCCTGCGAGTTCCCCTAAGTTCTTAGAGGACTGCTTTGCCTTTTGATCTGAGAGTTGCAAAGTTCCCTAAAGAATGGCCCTTGTGGATAAGCGCTAAGTCAAGAGACAGCGATTGGACAGAATTTGTGAGGAATTCACCCCCAGATCATGAAAGTCACCCTGAACCCCGCCTCGTGGTGGCTCTGCTGGATGGACGGGACTGCACTGTGGACATGCCCATCCTGAAGGACCTGGCCACCTGGACTTCTGTGAGGCTCAGTCCATGCAGGAGATCCACGAGAAAGTTCTAAACGAAGTCGTGGGCGCCATGATGTACCACACCTTCTCCCTCACCAGGGAGGACCTGGAAAATTTCAAGGCCCTGAGAGTGATCGTGCAGGTGGGCAGTGGCTACGACAACGTGGCCATCAAGGCTGCTGGCGAGCTCGAAATTGCTGTGTGCAGCATCCCGTCCGCAGCCGTGGAAGAGACAGCTGACTCCACCACCGGCCACATCCTCAATCTGTACTGGGGGAACAGGTCGCTGTACCAGGCACTGAGGGAAGGCACTCGAGTTCAGAGCGTGGAGCAGATTGGCGAGGTGGCCTCAGTAAAGGCCCGCATTCGTGGGGAGATATTGGGCCTCATCGGCTTCGGTCGCACGCAGCAGGAGGTTGCAGTTCGAGCCAAGGCCTTTGCAAGATGGGATCGAGCGGTCCCTGGGTGTGCATAGGGTCTACACCCAGCAGGATTTGCTGTATCAGAACGACTGCGTCTTCTTGCATTGCAATCTCAACGAATAAAACTACCACCTTATCCATGACTTTACCATAAAGCAGATGAGGCAGGGAGCATTCCTTGTGAACGAAGCCCGTGGTGGCCTGGTGGACGAGAAAGCCTGAGCACACACCCTCAAGGAGGGCAGAATACAAGGGGCAGCCCTCGATGTGAATGAGTCGGAGCCCTTTAGTTTTGCTCAGGGTCTGTTGAAAGATGCCTGGAATCTCATCCTTACTCCTCTCACTGCCTGCTACAGCCAGCAGGTGTCACTGGAGATGAGCGAGGCAGTTGCCACTGAGATCCGCCAAGCCATCATAAGTATCCCGGGAAGCTTAAGAAACTGTGTGAACAAGGAATTCTTTGTCACATCAGCGCTTTGGTCCGTAATAGACCAGCAAGAAATTCATCCTGAGCTCAGTAGTGCTACCTACAGATATCTGCCAGGCATGGTGGGCGTGGCTCCAGAAGGACTTCTGCAGCCAGGGAAGGCATCATCCCTGGAGACATCCCAGTGACTGACAACCTCCCAACAGTGGTACATCCTTCCCAAGGGCCCTCTCCCAACAGCCCACAAAACACGGGGACAGTCGAGAGCATCCCAACGAGCAATAGCAGAGAATTCCGGAAGGTAATTATTCAGATATACTTGGGAACAGTGAAAAATAGATAATCTAGGAGAAAAAGAATCTGACGGCCTTTTTAGCTGATTCCGGACATATGCATCATTGTTGTTGCAGTGTTAAAACAAGAGCTAGAAAACTGACAATGTCGTCTGCTTACGGAAGCTCTGAAAGACTAGGGTGTGATTTATTAACGACCAACTTCTATTATTGTGTGTTAAGTTTTTCATCTGTGCATCAAATCACAAAGAATAAATAGAACTTTTCCCTTTATCAGTCCCTTAGGCACAGCAGGTCCTGAACACCCTGCTTATATGTTGCATCAGCAGTTCAAATATCAAAATAAAAACCATGAAGAGGAAATCCGCATCCTGTGACTTGAGTCCCTTCAGTCTACAGGGACTGGTTACCACTTTTTGCTAATAGGAAGATTACATTACTAGAAAATGTGGAGTAAACTGTTTGCCTGTGGTAAACACCTGCATGCAAAGGATTGAAGACAGTACCGGCTCCTGTACAGAGATGCGTCTCTCACATCTGAGCTGCATATTGAGCGGCAAGTTGGTTGTAAGTTCAGTAAAAGCCGCTGATGATGCAAAAAATAAAAAACAAGTATTAAGTTTCACAAGCTGTTAGTAATCAAGTATATTTTCTCAGTTTCAGATCCTCTGCGATTTTATTGAGTGGAAAGTCTTGCGCTGAAAGGGTTCAAGAAAAATAATATTGCATTTCCTTATGTCACAGGAAACACTTTTAATGGTAACTTGTCAGACTATGAACAAACCCACTTTTTAAGATATTGATAAAGTCTTCTTTTCTTCACGTGATATTTTATACAAGAACACTTCAGATGTATTGGATGTGGCTGATTTTAACAAATCCTATTAGATTTGTATCAATTAGTTACATGTTCTATTCATAGTCTTTTGTGAATCATTGCCTTTTTGTTTAAAAAGATGGCCTATTTTGAGCCTTTGTATAAGTACATTCCTGTTTTTGTGATAAAAGAAAAACTTTAAATTTGTCCCAAAGAGAAAAATAATGGCTATCAGAAGTATGCTTTGTTTTAGTGCGAGTTACCGTTACTGTATTTGTGTATTGTAAAGGTGGACATTCTAATTACATTAAAATGTAATTAGAAAAAAGTGCTTAATGAACAAAAACAGAACATAGACAACAAAAGAATATTAGAAGTGATGCATGAAGAAAACGAGATATCAATAAAAAGATTTTTAAAAACCAAGAAAAATTGTGACTCTGAAGAACACAGTAACTATATTAAAAATTTAATCAGCAGTCACAAAAGCGGATTTAATAAAGCAGAAAAAATTAGACAGTTGATAACATTGCACTTATAAATACTGATTCATGAAAACAAATTTTTTAAACAGAATAGAGGAAAAATGAAAATTGGGACTTACAGCACACCACCAAGTGGACCACTGTATTTATAAAAGGAGTCTTAGAAAAACAGCATAGGAGAAAAATAATAAAGAGGATATTTTTAAAAAGTAGCTGAGAACTCCCTAGATGACAAGGTAATTAAACAAGAAGAAATCATGCTAAACAAAAACCTTCAACTGGAATAATTTCACTTCAGAAAAAAAAGTTAAGCATTTCCCAAACAAATAAAAGTTGAGTGTGTTACTAACCACTGGAACAGTGCTAAAGGAAATGTAAAAGAAAGTCTATCACGTCCAAAAATGACAATATATGCTGCACAGCGTCATAAAAGCATATGAAAATAGAAAGCTCTCTATTAAAGGTAAATACATAAACAGCTATAGAAACCTCTACTGTCATAATGATGGTGCACAAAACTTTCACGTTATTGCTGTGGAATTTAAAAAATGAAGCAGAAAGCTGCATAAATTTGGGTTCATAGATACTCAATAAGAAAAGATAACAAGTGATATTAATAACAAAGTGGGTGTATAAAGAGGTAAAGCTTTGCATTCCATTGAAATATAGTCATTATATATTGTCATAACTTTAAGATGTTTTATGAAGTCTTTATTTCTCAAGATGATTACAAAAAAAACCTGTAGATGGTATGCAGAAGCAAATGAGAAAGAAATTGAATCATGTCACTACAAAATCAATGAAGAAAAATAAAGCAGTAAGAGAAAATATGATAAATAACTCATCTACAAGAAACACAGAAGACAATTACAAATAATAATAGTAACTTCATTAACTACAGTAATTACTTCAAATACAAAAAGTTAAATACCTTAAAGAAAATGCATAAAATGATTTAATGGATTAAGAACAAAGAACATCCAGCAATGTACTCTCTACAAGAGTCACTTTAGCTCTAAGGACTCAAATAAGTTGAAAGTAGCAGTATGAAGAAAATATATTTTATGCAAAGAGTAGCTACAATTGGAGGGGCATGGTCATAATTATATTAAACAAAATATATTTTAAGTTAAAAATTTTAAAAAGAGACAGATTGTTATTATGTAATGGTGAGATGGATTAACTTGCAAGAATTCCATAACAATAATTTAGAAATCATATATATAATTTGAAAAATCTGCAAAAATATACCATTGGGATTTTGATAAAAATTACATTAAATTTTTATATTACTATAAATAACACTGATATCTTTCTTATTTTTTTTTTTGGAGATAGAGTTTCTGTCTCCCAGGCTGGAGGACAATGGCACGATCTCGCGATTGGCTCACTTCAACCTCCGCCTCCCAGGTTCAACTGATTCTCGTCTTTCAAATATGTAAAACAAATATTGACAGAAGTCAAGCAAGAAATATATAGCAACACAACAATTGCGGACTTCAAGACTCCACTTTCAATAATGACTAGAATAGTCAGATGTAATATCAGTAAGAAAGCCAAACCTGAACATTATAGACCTAACAAGCATTTACAGAACTCTGTGATCGAAAGCAGCAAAATATGCAATATTCTCAATCACACATGGTACATTCTGTTAGGATACATGTCTTATTAAATTTAAGAAAACTGAAGTCATGCAATGTAAATGAAACTAGAAATCAAAAGCAAGAAAATGTTTCAGATACGTAAATAAGAGGAAATTAAGCAAAATCTTACATATAGTCTTGCTCAAGTGTCAGGTGATTTAATATTGTTAAGATGTCAGGGCCGGCGCGTGACTCACGCCTGTAATCCCAGGACTTTGGGAGGCCAAAGTGTGTGGATCACTTGAGATCAGAAGTTTGAGACTAGCCTGGCCAACATGGCAAAACCCTATCTCTACTAAAAATACAAAAGTTAGCTATACATGTTGGTGCATGACTGTAATCCCAGCTACTCTGGTGGCTGAGACTGGAGAATTTCTTGAACATGGGAAGCAGAGCTTGCAGTGAGCACAGCTCACACCACTGCCCTTCAGCCTGAGTGACTCACTAAAACTCCATCTCCAAAGGAAAAAAAAAAAGTTGTCAGTATTACCCATGATGATATAAAAATGTAATGTAATTTTCATCTAAATCCCAATGGTATTTTTTTTGCAGAATTTTTGTGTATAATTCTAAAAGTTGTTTAGGAACTGTGACTAGGCAAACACCCTTTAAAAAG
This sequence comes from Homo sapiens, assembly GCF_000001405.40. Classification (NCBI taxonomy): domain Eukaryota; kingdom Metazoa; phylum Chordata; class Mammalia; order Primates; family Hominidae; genus Homo; species Homo sapiens. The sequence goes on along the minus strand of NW_021160012.1, from coordinate 81,958 downwards.
GACAAAGAGTTATTACATTTTCTGATTTAAAATCATGATACAAAGCTACAAAAATAAAAACAATATGGTATTGCCACAAAAACGGATACATAGATGATGAAACAGAATAGACATCCTGGAAATAAACCCTTGCATACGTGATAAAATAATCTTCCATATGCTTTCCATGACCATGCAATAGAAAAATAAGAATCTCTTTAACAAAGAATTTTCAAAATTGAATGTTTACAGAGCAAAAATAAAGTTGGACGCTTCTTTTGTATTATATATAAAAAGAAAAGTTGTTTTTTAATGGATTTAATGCTTAAACATAAAAACTAATAAAATTCTTAGAAGTAAACATAGGGGAAAAGTTTATGACGTAAGTCTTAAAACTTTGCTTAAGTATGACATCAAATTCATAAGAAACAAGGAAAAGAACAAAAAAGAAAGGAACTACATTAACCTTCAAGTATTCTACACATCAAGGAAAACATTTAGTGGCATACAAATGTCACCTAATAAGTGGGTGAAACCTGGGCATGCTGGCTCATGCCTATAATTCTAGAAATTTAGGAGGCCAAGTCAGAACGATCATTTGAGGCCAAAAGTTTGAGACTAGCCATGAAAATATATCAAGACCCTGTCTTGTATAGGGTAATATATGTGCATACATACATACATATAACAAAAAAGTGTAAAAATATTTTCTAATCACATATTTGGTAGGTGTTAATTTCCAAAAGATATAAACTCCTAAAATTCAACAACAACAAAATGTTAATAACTTGATTTAGAATGGTAAATGTTTGAAATGACCTTTCTCCAAAGAAGACATAGAAATGACTAGGTATTTAAAAGGATACTCGTCCGAGGGCAGGACTATGGGAGGATGCCCTGTACGGAAAAGAAGAAGAAATGGCAGTAAAGAGGGCAACCATCATTCCACCCAGCCCAAAAGGAATAAGAGAAACCCTATCTTTCAGGATTCTCAAGACACTGTTTTCATGGAGTGATAATGAAAGGAGCAGCAGCCGCCTTAATATCCCAGAGAGAGCAGGTGGACCAGAAGGCAACTTAAACCAGATTGTTACTGAACCCAATGCAAACTTTCCCCAGTTCTTGCATGAGGGGTATGTACCATGCCAAGGTCTTTACTCCCATATCAACCAGACCTTGAAGGAGGCTCACTTCAACAGCCTGCAGCAGTGAGGGCAAGCTCCAACATGATGAATTAGGACTTCCTTATTCCAACCTAAACTGTGTTTATAAAAGTAATTGCATACACACCAAAAAAAAAGTCTATTGGTTTTTAAGTCTAAATTTTAAGTAACAAGTTAATGGGCAGTTGTTTAATTGGGGTTTTACTTCACTGCTGTACTTTTAAAGGGGCTGTGAATAAATGTTTATGAAATTAAAAAAATAAAATAAAAAAATAAAAGGATACTCGACATCACTCTTCTAGAAAAATGCAGAGCAAAGTCACAATAATCTATGGCCTCAAGCCGATATTTAAAATAGTATGACAGCTCTTCAAAAAATTTAAAATGAGATTATTATATAATCCAGCAAACCCCCTTCTGGCTATGTACTTAAAATATACAACGCAGATCTGGAAGAGATATTTGCACAACCAAATTTATTGCAATATTATTAACACAAGCCAAAAGGCAGAAACAATCCAGATGTCCCTTGACCAATGAACAGATTAAGAACAAGTGGCACATACACAAAGTCGAATATTATTCAGTCTTTAAAAAGACACATTATATGATAATTCTGGAGAAGATCATGTTAATTGAAATAAGCCAGGAACAAAGTGACACTCTATGATTCCATTCATAATCAGATATCTTAAGTAGACAAACTCATAGGAAAAAAAAGTTAGAATGGTGCTTGTCAAGGACTGAAGAGATGGTAAAATGGGCAGTTGTTTTATTTTTTATTTTTTTATTTTTTTAAATTATACTTTAAGTTTTAGGGTACATGTGCACATTGTGCAGGTTAGTTACATATGTATACATGTGCCATGCTGGTGTGCTGCACTCACTAACTCGTCATCTAGCATTAGGTATATCTCCCAATGCTATCCCTCCCCCCTCCCCCCACCCCAAAACAGTCCCCAGAGTGTGATATTCCCCTTCCTGTGTCCATGGGATCTCATTGTTCAATTCCCACCTATGAGTGAGAACATGCGGTGTTTGGTTTTTTGTTCTTGTGATAGTTTACTGAGAATGATGATTTCCAATTTCATCCATGTCCTTACAAAGGCCATGAACTCATCATTTTTTATGGCTGCATAGTATTCCATGGTGTATATGTGCCACATTTTCTTAATCCAGTCTATCATTGTTGGACATTTGGGTTGGTTCCAAGTCTTTGCTATTGTGAATAATGCCGCAGTAAACATACGTGTGCATGTGTCTTTATAGCAGCATGATTTATAGTCCTTTGGGTATATACCCAGTAATGGGATGGCTGGGTCAAATGGTATTTCTAGTTCTAGATCCCTGAGGAATCGTCACACTGACTTCCACAATGGTTGAACTAGTTTACAGTCCCACCAACAGTGTAAAAGTGTTCCTATTTCTCCACATCCTCTCCAGCACCTGTTGTTTCCTGACTTTTGAATGATTGCCATTCTAACTGGTGTGAGATGGTATCTCATTGTGGTTTTGATTTGCATTTCTCTGATGGCCAGTGATGATGAGCATTTTTTCATGTGTTTTTTGGTTGCATAAATGTCTTCTTTTGAGAAGTGTCTGTTGATATCCTTTGCCCACTTTTTGATGCGGTTGTTTGTTTTTTTCTTGTAAATTTGTTTGAGTTCATTGTAGATTCTGGATATTAGCCCTTTGTCAGATGAGTAGGTTGCGAAAATTTTCTCCCATTTTGTAGGTGGCCTGTTCACTCTGATGGTAGTTTCTTTTGCTGTGCAGAAGCTCTTTAATTTAATTAGATCCCATTTGTCAATTTTGTCTTTTGTTGCCATTGCTTTTGGTGTTTTGGACATGAAGTCCTTGCCCATGTCTATGTCCTGAATGGTAATGCTTAGGTTTTCTTCTAGGGTTTTTATGGTTTTAGGTCTAATGTCTAACTCTTTAATCCATCTTGAATTGATTTTTGTATAAGGTGTAAGGAAGGGATCCAGTTTCAGCTTTCTATATATGGCTAGCCAGTTTTCCCAGCACCATTTATTAAATAGGGAATCCTTTCCACATTGCTTGTTTTTGTCAGGTTTGTCAAAGATCAGATAGTTGTAGATATGCGGCATTATTTCTGAGGGCTCTGTTCTGTTCCATTGATCTATATCTCTGTTTTGGTACCAGTACCATGCTGTTTTGGTTACTGTAGCCTTGTAGTATAGTTTGAAGTCAGGTAGTGTGATGCCTCCAGCTTTGTTCTTTTGGCTTAGGATTGACTTGGCGATGCGGGCTCTTTTTTGGTTCCATATGAACTTTAAAGTAGTTTTTTCCAATTCTGTGAAGAAAGTCATTGGTAGCTTGATGGGGATGGCATTGAATCTGTAAATTACCTTGGGCAGTATGGCCATTTTCACGATATTGATTATTCCTACCCATGAGCATGGAATGTTCTTCCATTTGTTTGTATCCTCTTTTATTTCCTTGAGCAGTGGTTTGTAGTTCTCCTTGAAGAGGTCCTTCACATCCCTTGTAAGTTGGATTCTTAGGTATTTTATTCTCTTTGAAGCAATTCTGAATGGGAGTTCACTCATGATTTGGCTCTCTGTTTGTCTGTTGTTGGTGTATAAGAATGCTTGTGATTTTTGTACATTGATTTTGTACCCTGAGACTTTGCTGAAGTTGCTTATCAGCTTAAGGAGATTTTGGGCTGAGCCAATGGGGTTTTCTAGATATACAATCATGTCGTCTGCAAACAAGGACAATTTGACTTCCTATTTTCCTAATTGAATACCCTTTATTTCCTTCTCCTTCATAATTGCCCTGGCCAGAATTTCCAACACTGTGTTGAATAGGAGTGGTGAGAGAGGGCATCCCCGTCTTGTGTCAGTTTTCAAAGGGAATGCTTCCAGTTTTTGCCCATTCAGTATGATATTGGCTGTGGGTTTGTCATAGATAGCTCTTATTATTTTGAAATACGTCCCATCAATACCTAATTTGTTGAGAGTTTTTAGCATGAAGGGTTGTTGAATTTTGTCAAAGGTTTTTTCTGCATCTATTGAGATAATCATGTGGTTTTTGTCTTTGGCTCTGTTTATATGCTGGATTACATTTATTGATTTGCGTATATTGAACCAGCCTTGCATCCCAGGGATGAAGCCCACTTGATCATGGTGGATAAGCTTTTTGATGTGCTGCTGGATTCGGTTTGCCAGTATTTTATTGAGGATTTTTGCATCAATGTTCATCAAGGATATTGGTCTATAATTCTCTTTTTTCATTGTGTCTGTGCGCGGCTTTGGTATCAGAATGATGCTGGCCTCATAAAATGAGTTAGGGAGGATTCCCTCTTTTTCTATTGTTTGGAATAGTTTCAGAAGGAAAGGTACTAGTCCCACCTTGTACCTCTGGTAGAATTCAGCTGTGAATCCATCTGGTTCTGGACTCTTTTTGGTTGGTAAACTATTGATTATTGCCACAATTTCAGATCCTGTTATTGGTCTATTCAGAGATTCAACTTCTTCCTGGTTTAGTCTTGGGAGAGTGTATGTGTCAAGGAATGTATCCATTTCTTCTAGATTTTCTAGTTTATTTGCATAGAGGTGATGTAGTATTCTCTGATGGTAGTTTGTATTTCTGTGGGATTGGTGGTGATATCGCCTTTATCATTTTTTATTGCGTCTATTTGATTCTTCTCTCTTTTTTTCTTTATTAGTCTTGCTAGCAGTCTATCAATTTTGTTGATCCTTTCAAAAAACCAGCTCCTGGATTCATTGATTTTTTGAAGGGTTTTTTGTGTCTCTATTTCCTTCAGTTCTGCTCTGATTTTAGTTATTTCTTGCCTTCTGCTAGCTTTTGCATGTGTTTGCTCTTGCTTTTCTAGTTCTTTTAATTGTGATGTTAGGGTGTCAATTTTGGATCTTTCCTGCTTTCTCTGGTGGGCATTTAGTGCTATAAATTTCCCTCTACACACTGCTTTGAATGCGTCCCAGAGATTCTGGTATGTTGTGTCTTTGTTCTCGTTGGTTTCAAAGAACATCTTTATTTCTGCCTTCATTTCGTTATGTACCCAGTAGTCATTCAGGAGCAGGTTGTTCAGTTTCCATGTAGTTGAGTGGTTTTGAGTGAGATTCTCAATCCTGAGTTCTAGTTGAATTGCACTGTGGTCTGAGAGATAGTTTGTTATAATTTCTGTTATTTTACATTTGCTGAGGAGAGCTTTACTTCCAACGATGTGGTCAATTTTGGAATAGGTGTGGTGTGGTGCTGAAAAAAATGTATATTCTGTTGATTTGGGGTGGAGAGTTCTGTAGATGTCTATTAGGTCCACTTGGTGCAGAGCTGAGTTCAATTCCTGGGTATCCTTGTTGAGTTTCTGTCTCGTTGATCTGTCTAATGTTGACAGTGGGGTGTTAAAGTCTCCTATTATTAATGTGTGGGAGTCTAAGTCTCTTTGTAGGTCACTCAGGACTTGCTTTCTGAATCTGGGTGCTCCTGTATTGGGTGTATATATATTTAGGATAGTTAGCTCTTCTTGTTGCATTGATCCCTTTACCATTATGTAGTGGCCTTCTTTGTCTCTTTTGATGTTTGTTGGTTTAAAGTCTGTTTTATCAGAGACTAGGATTGCAACCCCTGCCTTTTTTTGTTTTCCATTTGCTTGGTAGATCTTCTTCCATCCCTTTATTTTGAGCCTATGTGTGTCTCTGCACGTGAGATGGGTTTCCTGAATACAGCACACTGATGGGTCTTGACTCTTTATCCAATTTGCCAGTCTGTGTCTTTTAATTGGAGAATTTAGTCCATTTGCATTTAAAGTTAATATTGTTATGTGTGAATTTGATCCTGTCATTATGATGTTAGCTGGTTATTTTGCTCGTTAGTTGATGCAGTTTCTTCCTAGTCTCGATGGTCTTTACATTTTGGCATGATTTTGCAGCAGCTGGTACCGATTGTTCCTTTCCATGTTTAGTGCTTCCTTCAGGAGCTCTTTTAGGGCAGGCCTGGTGGTGACAAAATCTCTCAGCATTTGCTTGTCTGTTAAGTATTTTATTTCTCCTTCACTTATGAAGCTTAGTTTGGCTGGATATGAAATTCTGGGTTGAAAATTCTTTTCTTTAAGAATGTTGAATATTGGCCCCCACTCTCTTCTGGCTTGTAGGGTTTCTGCCGAGAGATCCGCTGTTTGTCTGATGGGCTTCCCTTTGAGGGTAATCCGACCTTTCTCTCTGGCTGCCCTTAACATTTTTTCCTTCATTTCAACTTTGGTGAATCTGACAATTTTGTGTCTTGGAGTTGCTCTTCTCGAGGAGTATCTTTGTGGCGTTCTCTGTATTTCCTGAATCTGAACGTTGGCCTGCCTTGCTAGATTGCGGAAGTTCTCCTGGATAATATCCTGCAGAGTGTTTTCCAACTTGGTTCCATTCTCCCCATCACTTTCAGGTACACCAATCAGACGTAGATTTGGTCTTTTCACATAGTCCCATATTTCTTGGAGGCTTTGTTCATTTCTTTTTATTCTTTTTTCTCTAAACTTCCCTTCTAGCTTCATTTCATTCATTTCATCTTCCATTGCTGATACCCTTTCTTCCAGTTGATCGCATCGGCTCCTGAGGCTTCTGCATTCTTCACGTAGTTCTCGAGCCTTAGTTTTCAGCTCCATCAGCTCCTTTAAGCACTTCTCTGTATTGGTTATTCTAGTTATACATTCTTCTAAACTTTTTTCAAAGTTTTCAACTTCTTTGCCTTTGGTTTGAATGTCCTCCCGTAGCTCAGAGTAATTTGATCGTGTGAAGACTTCTCTCAGCTCGTCAAAGTCATTCTCCATCCAGCTTTGTTCCGTTGCTGGTGAGGAACTGCGTTCCTTTGGAGGAGGAGAGGTGCTCTGCGTTTTAGAGTTTCCAGTTTTTCTGTTCTGTTTTTTCCCCATCTTTTTGGTTTTATCTACTTTTGGTCTTTGATGATGGTGATGTACCGATGGGTTTTCGGTGTGGATGTCCTTTCTCTTTGTTAGTTTTCCTTCTAACAGACAGGACCCTCAGCTGCAGGTCTGTTGGAATACCCTGCCGTGTGAGGTGTCAGTGTGCCCCTGCTGGGGGGTGCCTCCCAGTTAGGCTGCTCGTGGGTCAGGGGTCAGGGACCCACTTGAGGAGGCAGTCTGCCGGTTCTCAGATCTCCAGCTGCATGCTAGGAGAACCACTGCTCTCTTCAAAGCTGTCAGACAGGGACATTTAAGTCTGCAGAGGTTACTGCTGTCTGTGCCCTGCCCCCAGAGGTGGAGCCTACAGAGGCAGGCAGGCCTCCTTGAGCTGTGGTGGGCTCCACCCAGTTCGAGCTTCCCGGCTGCTTTGTTTACCTAAGCAAGCCTGGGCAATGGCGGGCGCCCCTCCCCCAGCCTCGCTGCCGCCTTGCAGTTTGATCTCAGACTGCTGTGCTAGCAATCAGCGAGATTCCGTGGGCGTAGGACCCTCCGAGCCAGGTGTGGGATATAATCTCGTGGTGCGCCGTTTTTTAAGCCAGTGTGAAAAGCGCAATATTCGGGTGGGAGTGACCCGATTTTCCAGGTGCGTCCGTCACCCCTTTCGTTGACTTGGAAAGGGAACTCCCTGACCCCTTGCGCTTCCCAAGTGAGGCAATGCCTCGCCCTGCTTCGGCTCGCGCACGGTGCGCTCACCCACTGGCCTGCGCCCACTGTCTGGCACTCCCTAGTGAGATGAACCCGGTACCTTAGATGGAAATGCAGAAATCACCCGTCTTCTGCGTCGCTCAGGCTTGGAGCTGTAGACCGGAGCTGTTACTATTCGGCCATCTTGGCTCCTCCCTCTTGCTTAACTGTTAAAGGGGTAATGTTCTATCTAAAACTTGGAGTCAGCAGATATAAAAGTTTTAACTCTTAAGTGGAGATAGGGATGCTATGTAGCAAGATTGCTGACCTGCAGGCATGGCTTAACACTTGTCTTGCACTGCCTTAAATTGTGACAATAATTTGGTATTATATTGCCACAGAGTCAGTTTTGTCAGTCTTATGATCTCTATTTTAACATTAGTGCTGATGATTTGTTGTACCTAAAGAGCAAACAGAGGTACAACAGCAAACAGGTGTGTAACAAGGCCTGTCTGTCTCCTCCTGTTCTGTGTGGGAGATGCTGATGGAAGAAGAAAAGACACACACACAATACCTTTCAGGGTAAACAACTTTTTATCCCATGTAAATGGCATTGCAGATATCTATATCTATATCTATATTTTTATCTATCTATCTATCTATATCTATGTATGTATGTATCTATCTATCTATATCTATATCTATGTATATGTACTCACCAGACTATACAGCATTCATGGCCAGATGGGGAAGCAACAGCCTAGGCTCCAGAGTTGGCTACTACACCCACCAGACTATGGAGGATTCACTTTTCAGCTTCAAGATCACTGCTGGAAGCTCAGGGACTTCCCACATTCCAGGATAGAAACTCCTCCAGTTCTCCCTCTTGGCAATTGAATGGTCGGGGGGAACTGACCTTAGTGAAAATTGGGTATCTAAATTAGTGGAATTTGAACCTTAGACTGTGCATGAAGTGCTGCAGGGGATTTCAGTCAGCAAAGGAGATGCCAGGGGGATCTCTTAGCATAGATGGTGCTTGCTTACTGCTCATAAGTTAATGTGTTGAGATAGAAATCAATTGCTACAAGATAAATGTAAGCTGGAAAAAGAAAACACTACTCTGACTTCCAGACTGGCCCTGGCTCAATTTCAGGCCTATGTCTTGACTGATCAGGCTCAAAGCTAACAGATTATTGATGAAAAAAACAGCTGTGCAAGTAGTGTGGTCAGGGTAAAACTGAAGAACGAGTCAGCTGGGGCTTGGAGTGGGTAAAAACCCAGTTCCTATCTGAAGAATGGGAAATTAGCCTTTACAAATTTCAAGAACCTGCACAAACTATAAAATTGCTTTGCATCCCATGGAACGCAAGGAAAAAGTCCATTTTACCAAAGGCTATGGTTAAAATACTAGAATTTGCAACCCCTACCACTAAAAAGGAGGCCCAGAAATTTATTGGCTTCTTTGAATTCTGGAGAATCTTAGCGATTTGGGTAACATCTCACAACCTCTGTATGCAGTCACTAGAAAATGTAATGACTTTCACTGGAGGTAGAAAGAGAACACAGCCTTTGAGCAAGCTAAGCAAGCAGTGCATCTGGCCCTGGATGGCCCATATGGGATGGGCCAGTAGAATTGCAAACAACTGTCCTGGATTAACATGTTAATTGGAGCCTTTGGCAGAAACAAGATGGGAAGAGGGGACTCTTGGGGTTTCAAACCCGGAAGCTGCCAGAGGCTGGCGAAGCTTATAATCCTTTTGAGAAGGGACTGTTAGCTTGCTATCAGGCTTTGCTGGAAATGGAAACTCTCTGTTTCAACCATGATGTCTTCATAAGGCCTGAAATTCCTATTATGACTTGGGTCATGAGGTCCACCAAAACCCATCGAATAGGGCATGCTGAAGAAAGTAGCATCACATAATGGAATGGTATATACAAGATAGGGCAAAGCCAGGACCAAAGGGGGTATCGTTTTTAAAAAATTTGCCAACTCAGAAAGCCACCGAACAAGTCCTGCAGGCAGGGAAAGAGACCTGCCTCATCCAAAGCATCAGAAACATGCTTGGTTTACTGATGGATCTGCCAAATACATTGGTGGGACCCGATGCGGGGAGGCCGTGGCTTATAATCCTGTTAAAAACATAAGTATTTCTGATGAAGGAAGGGATGGGAGCAGCCAGCTGGCTGAGCTAGTAGCCATCTTCCCAGCTATTCAGAAGAAGGCCAGAGGGATTTGACACTTGTATACCAACTCTTGGTCAGTAGCAAATGGTCTTACTACCTAGATGCCTCAGTGGCAATGAGGCAAATGGTTAATTGGGAATAAAGAGGTTTGGGGAAAGAATACAGGGAAGATATCTGAATCCCTGTGCACCCTACCATTAACACTGTTATGTTGATGCTCATGCATCTCTGCTTTCTCTTGGCAGACTAATTAATCAGCAGGCAGGTCAACAGGCCAAAATTTCCACCATAACTGCAAACTCAAATGTGGATGAATGGATTACCACACGTCCAAGCATTGGAATGAGAGGCATTATAGTGTATGGTGGTGTAATTGATAGTGATTACCGGTGAGAGTTAAAAATCTTTTAACACAATACCACCGAAAATTCTTTTGCCATAAAGCCACAGATGCAGATTGCTCAGCTACTGGTAGTACCGTGTCACCAATTAACCCCCGAGGAAATTTCTGCCCCAATAGGAACATCATATAGAACTGGAGGATTTGGGTCCACCAAAGTGGGCAGCTTAAATCCTGGGGCCACAGTATGGGGGCAGGAAATGAGGGGAGTAGTAAAATTTTAAAAACAATGTTATGTTCCCCTCTGTTTTTGTTATTAAAAGGAATAGCCTATCGAATGATGGTCAGCACCTGCTTCTTTGTGTCTGAGGCCAAGAATGCATTTAGCAACTGAGTAGCCACCGCTGCAAAAGAAGTCAACTGCAGTTAGTGCTGCCTATTAGTCGAATTGCCACAGGCTGCAGGGAATGGGCTCCCTTAAAAAATTGTCTCTGCCAACATTTCCAAGTGGTTACATCACTACCAAGGCGGTCAGGAGAATAGCACCTGTAATCCCACCTGGACTTCTTTTAACCAAATCAAAGAGTCTATTTTTGCCCAAGTCTGACAAAAGGAGAAATCCACTTTTGCAATGCATCAAAGGCCTTTGTATCCTACCCAATATACCTGGAAAGACATATACAGGGAACCTACCATACCGGTAGCTGAACTCCATATGGCACCGCACCCCCCCTTTGTCTGGAGGCCTTAAATGGCTCTTTTAATGTTACTCTGGGGTTTCTCCCACCAGACAATTGTCAACACATACTCCAAATCAACAGCATTGTCCCCAATGAAACACAACCTCTTTCCTAAATCTAGATGCTTCCAAACATCACTGGTTACAAATGCGCCAGAATCCCTGATGGGGTGAACCCTATAACAGTGTTCTCCTCTGCCACTGATACAATTCTGCTTCAGCAAAAAATTTAAATATTAAGCTTACATGGAGAAAAAGCTCTTAATGGTAGTAGCACTGGACTTATGTTGTTATCAGAGGAATTTGCTCAGTTGTGTACTGTTGTGTTGCAAAATCAAATGGCATTAGGTATGCTTACCGCAGCCCAAGGAGCGTTTCAGCCTTGCTGCATACTGAATTTTGTGTGTGTATCCCTGACAGTTCTCACAATATTACTCTCCTCGCCCAAGACATGCAAGGACAAGCAAAACAAAATCTAACTGTCAGGACCCCATCATGAATTGGCTGTCCAACTGGCATTGGCGTTGGCCTTGGTGGGTGCGGTTTTTATTAACTGTGTTTTAATTCTCCTCTGCTTACCCTGCTTCTGTAACCTCTACCAATTATGTATTCCTCGTATATCTGTAAGGGTATTTTCCTACATTTGAGTATCAATTGGGACCGAATACGCAGAAAAAGTTAAATAATATATTTAAACTCAATTGAACATGGACACAAATAATGGTCACCAAGTCTCGGAATAGGTTTTGTGAGCCCCTTGAGGCATTCATCCAGCACTGTTTCAGAGAAATCTCTATTTCAATCTATTCCTATACTTTAGTTATTGAAAAACAACAGACAACGGCAAAAGCAAATTGACCTTTTTGTGTTCCTTTGTGCATGGATGAGTGGCTGACTCTGGAGCCCAGGCTGTTGCTTCTCGGTCTGGTGATGAATCCTCCGTAGTCTATCCTCATATATATATATATATATATATACACACATTTTTTTCCTTCTCCCCTTCCCACTGCAATTTGCTTATTGTATCAATTTGCTTATTCTATCATTTGCTTATTATATCTGAATTGCCATTTATGTGGGATCGAGTTTGTTGACCTTTAAAGGTATTGTGTGTGTGTGTTTTCTTCTTCTCTGGAGCATCTCCTGCACATAACACCTCTCTTGCTGTCATAGCGAGAAATTCAGTTTTTAAGTTTTTTTCTGGGGTCTTCTTGCTCAAGAGGAAGTATGTTCAGTTGATACGGGGCTTAGAATTTTATTTATAGCTTTTATTACATTCTAAAACCCCCAGCAGAAACAAGTCTTAACAAACACAGATTTTAATTTCTGAACATTCTTCTAATAAGTTTTGCACAGGTAGCGGAACAACTAAAAAAACTGTTTTTTGCATTGATGGTCTACCTCATTACAATTTAACCTCTAAAGGGTGTTTTAGCCAGCTCTAGAGTCTGCTACGGTTAAGGTGAATTTACTGCTTCTTCCCATAATAAAGAATGGTATTTTAAAATAACATAACTTCTATGGCATATATTTTTAAAGCATGACCACAATTTGAATAATTAGAACATTTAAAAATTCGAAATATTGTTATACTAACACTGCACCAAAATTTATCCTTCCAATGATGACAGGGAATTTTTAATAGTTGTTATTTTTATAGTAAAATTAAACTTTAATAAAATAACTGACTTTCAAACTTCAGCAAGAAGACACATATTCAGCCAGAGATATCAGTTCCCCTTTAGAAAAAAATACTCACTTCTCATTAAAATCTCTCTGTATCTTACTGATTTCAGATAGAATTTAAATTTCACCTTAATAACAGAAACAAAAGAACTAGTTAATCTAACAAAAACTAATAAACGTATGCCCAAATTTACTGGCAGAATCATGGGTACGTCATATAATAGTAACATTCTACCAGTTTTAAGTAAAATAAATAAGGAAATAATCTTAACAGTACAACCTACCAGGAGGGGCGTGTCCCTACTCCCAGGTGAGTGGGAACCCTGCGCTCTGGGGAGGTTGCGCCTCAGCCTCTGGCACCTCTTGTTGGCAGCGTCGCCGTTGCAGGCACAGGGCAGGCGTTGGGGGACGTGCAGTGGGCCAGGCCCAGGCACGTCCTTTGCCAGGGGCTGGGCAAGTGCGGAGAGGGGCGGAGCGGTGCTGCCCTGGTCGAGGGAGCCTCCAGCTCTGGACAGTTTGCCGCCCCTGCCTCAGGAGGGCGCTGAAGGAGCTGAGTGGGGAAGCGGAGGGACGAGGGGATTCAGGCCAGGCCACGTGGCCCTTTAGCCTTGGGTGATGCAGGAGGGGCTGTGGAAGACCAGAGAAGACCCGGAGCAGAAACTGGGAACTGATATCTCTGGCTGAATATTTGTCCTCTTGCTGAAGTTTGAAAGTCAGTTATTTCATTAAAGTTTAATTTTATTATAAAAATAGCAACTATTAAAAATTCCCTGTAGTCACTGGAATGATAATTTTTGGTGCCGTTTCAGCATAATAATCTTTGGAGTTTTTAGATATTCTAATTATTCAAATTGCGGCCATGTTTCAAAATATATGCCATATAATTTTATGGCATCCGCCTCTGTGTCCCTGTTGGCTCAGGAAACGTGCTTCTTCTTCCTTCCGCAGGCTCGGATCAGGCCGCCCTTCCTCCTGGCGTCTGAGGCGGGCATGGGGATAGCCTGCCAGCGAATAGCCTGACAATGCCCGGCCTGTGCCCTGTGCTCAGCATGGGGTCCTGGCTGGTGCCCCTCAGAGCCCCTCACAAAGTAGCGTGACAGGTGTGGAAGGACCCAGCACCCGGCAGCGGTGAGCGGATGGATGTTCCAGGGATGTGGGGCAGCTGGCAGTCAAGATCCCACTGCCAAATTCAATGGCATAACGTTGCATATTTTTCCCTTATATTTTTGTGTAGGAGTTTTACAGCTTTCAGCCTTACATTTGTATTTTCTTAACATAGGATTCCAGAACAATGCTACGAGGGTCTGAATGCCTGTCCCACACGTAGGATTCCAGAACACATCAGCTGTGGTCTGAATGATTGCCCCTCACATATGATTCCAGAACAGTCCTGCTGCGGTCTGAATGATTGTACCTCACACAGGGTTCTAGAGCACTCCTCCCCTAGTCTGAATATTTGTCCGTCAGATAAGATTCCAGAACACTGCTGCTGGGTTCTGAGTGTTTGTCCCTCACATACAATTCCAGAACACTGCTAGGGGGGTCTGAATGTTTGTACCTCACATAAGATTCTAGAACACTGTTATGAGGGTCTGAATCTTTGTCCCTCACATAGGACTCCAGAACACTCCTGCTGTGTTCTGAATGTGATTTCCTAACATAGGATTACAGAACAATGCTACGAGGGTCTGAATGCTTGTCCCACAAGTAGGATTCCAGAACACTCCAGCTGTGGTCTGAATGATTGTCCCTCACATAGGATTCCAGAACACTGCTGCTGGGTTCTGAGTGTTTCTCCCTCACATAGGATTCCACAACAGTGCTACAAGGGTCTCAATGTTTGTCCCGCACATAGGACTCCAGAACACTCCTGCTGTGTTCTGAATGTATTTTCCTAACCTAGGATTCCAGAACAGTGCTACGAGAGTCTGAATGCTTGTCCCACACGTAGGATTACAGGAGATGCCAGCTGTGGTCTGAATGATGGTCCCTCATATAAGATTCCAGAACAATGCTGCTGGGTTCTGAGTGTTTGTCCCTCACATAGGACTACAGAACACTGCTACGAGGGTCTGAATGATTGTACCTCACATAGGATTATGGAACACTCCTGCTCTGGTCTGAATGTTTGTCCCTCAAATGGGATTCCAGAACACTGAGTTTGGGATCTGAGTGTTTGTCCCTCACGTATGACTCCAGAACACTGCCTCATGGTTGTAAATGTTTGTCCATCACATAGAATTCCAGAACACTGCTATGAGGGATTGAAAGTTTGTCCCGCACATAGGACTCCAGAACATTCCTGCTCTGCTCTGAATGTTTGTCCCTCACATAGGATTCCAGAACACTGCTGCTGCGTTCTGAGTGTTTCTCCCTCACATAGGATTCCACAACACTGCTACGAGTTTCTGAATGTTTGTCCCTCACATAGGATTCCAGAACACTGCTACGTGGGCCTAAATGTTTGTCCCTCACATAGGAGTCCAGAACACTGCTGCTTTGGTCTGAATGTTTGTCCCTCACTTAGGATTCCAGAACACTCCTTCTGTGGTCTGAAAGTTTCTCCCTCACAAAGGATTACAGAACACTGCTCCTGGTTTCTGAGTGTTTGTCTTTTGCATAGGATTCCAGAACACTGCTACGAGGGTCTGAATGTTTGTCCCTCATATAGGATTCCAGAACACTACTGCTGTGGTCTGAATACTTGACCCTTATATAGGATTCCAGAACATTCCTCCTGTCATCTGGGTGTTTGTGCCTCACAAGGGTTTCCAGATCTATCCTGCTGTGTTCTGAATGTTTCCCCCTCACATAGGATTCCAAAACATTTCTTCTCTGGTCTGAGTGTTTCTCCCTCAAATAGGATTCCAAAACACTGCTACTGGAGTCTGAATGTTTGTCCCTCACATAGGATTCCAGAACACTGCTATGAGGGTCTGAATTATTCTCCCTGACATAGCGTTCCAGAACACTCCTGCTGTGTTCCGAATGTTTGTCTCTCACTCAGGATTCCAGAACACTCGTGCTGTGGTCTGAAAGTTTGTCCCTCACTTAGGATTCCAGAACACTGCTGTTGGTTTCTGAGTGTTTGTACTTAACGTAAGATTCCAGAACACAGCTACTTGGGTCTAAATGTTTGTCCCTCACATAGGATTCCAGAACACTGCTACGAAGGTCTGAATTTTTCTCCCTCACATGGGATTCCAGAACACTCCTGCCATGCTCTGAATGTTTGTCCCCCCCTAAGGAATCCAGAACACTGCGTTGGGTTCTCAGTGTTTGTCCCTCTAGTACGATTCCAGAACACTGCTACGAGGCTCTGAATGATTGTACCTCACATAGGATTCCAAGACACTCTTGCTCTTTTCTGAATGTTTGCCGCTCAAATAGGATTCCAGAACACCGCTGCTGGCTTCTGAGTGTTTGTCCCTCATGTATGATTCCAGAACACTGCTGCTGTGGTCTGAATGCTTGTTCCTCACATAATATTCCAGTACACTACTGCTGTGGTATGAATGATTGTCTCTCATATAGGATTCCAGAACACTACTATTGTAGTCTCAATGGTTGACCCTCACATGGGATTCCAGAAAACTGCTGCTGTAGTCTCAGTGGTTTTGCCTCACATGGGATTCCAGAGCAATCCTCTTGTGGTCTGAGTGTTTCTCACTCACAAAGGATTCCAAAACACTCCTGCCATGGTCTGAGTGTTTGTCCCTCAAGTAAGATTCCACAACACTGCTACTGGGCTCTGAATGTTTGTCCCTCACATAGGATTCCAGAACACTGCTACTAGAGTTTGAATTATTCTCCCTCACATAGGAATCCGCAACACTCCTGCTGTGGTCTGAATGTTTGTCCCTCACTTAGGATTCCAGAACACTGCTGCTGGGTTTGCAGTGTTTGTCCCTCACATCGGATTCCAGAACACTGCTAGGAGAGTTTGAATGTTTGTCCCTCACATAGGATTCAAGAACACTGCTACGAGGGTGTGAATGTTTGTCTCTCAGATAGGATTCCAGAACACTCCCGCTGTGGTCTGAAAGTTTGTCCCTCACATAGGATTCCAGAACACTGCCCCTGGGGTCTGAATGTTTGTCTCTCACATAGGATTCCAGAACAATCCTGCTGTGGTGTGAATGTTTGTACCTAAAATAGGATTTCGGAACACTGCTGCTGGCGTCTGAATGTTTGTACCTCACATGGGATTCCAGAACAATCGTGCTGTGGTCTGAACGTTACTCACATAGGATTCCAGAACATTCCTTCTGTGGTCTGAATGTTTCTCCCTCACGTCGGATTCCAGAACACTGCTACAAGAGTCTGAATACTTTTCCCTCACATAGGATTTCAGAACACTGCTAAGAGGGTCTGAATGTTTGTCCTTCACATAAGATCCAAGAACACTGCCTCTGGGTTTTGATTGTTTGTCCTTCACATCGAATTCTAAAACACTGCCACAGGAGTCTGAAAGTTTGTCCCTCACATAGGATTCAAGAACACTGCTAAGAGGTTCTGAAGCTTTGTCCCTCACATAGGATTCTGGAAAAATTTTGCTGTGGTCTGAATGTTTGTTCTGCACAAAGGATTCCAGAAAACTTCTGCTGTGGTCTGTATATTTGTCCCTCACATAGGATTCCAGAACACCCCTGCTGGGTTCTGGCTGTCCCTCACATAAGACTCAATAACCCTCCTGCTGTGATCTGTATGTTTTTCCCTCACATAGGATTCCACAACACTGCTAGGAGGGTCTGAATGTTTGTCCTTCACATAGGATTCCAGAACACTGCGGCTGGGGACTAAATGTTGTTCCTTCAAAAAGGATTCCAGAACACTTCTGCTGGGGTCTGGATGTTTTCTCCCTCACATAGGATTGCTTAAAAATGCTTCTAGGCTCTAAATGTTTGTCCATCACAGAGGATTCCAGAACCGTTCTGCTGGCTTCTGACTGTTTCTCCCACACATAGGTATCCAGAACACTGCTGCAGGGGTCCGAATGTTTATCCATCACATAGGATTAAAGAATACTCCTGCTTAGGTCTGAATGTTTGCCCCTCATATAGGATTCCAGAACAATGCTTCTGGCATCTGAATGTTTGTCGCTCGCATAGGATTCCACAACACTGCTGCTGGTTTCTGAGTGTTTGGCCTTCACATAGGATTCCAGAACACTGCTACCAGGGTCTGAATGTCTGTCTCTCACATAGGATTCCAGAACATTCCTCCTGTGGTATGAATGTTTGTCCCTCTCATAGGATTACAGAACATGCTGCTGGGTTCTGAGTGGTTAGCCCTCACAAAGGATTCCAGAACACTGCTAAGAGGGACTGAATGTTTGTCCCTCAAATAGCATTCCAGAACACTCCTGATGTGGTCTAAATATCCGTTCCTCACATAGGATTCCAGAAGAATTCTGCTCTAGTCTGAATCTTTGTCCCTCACTAGTATTCCAGAACACTGCTTCAAAGGTCTGAATGTTTGTCCCTCACAGGGGATTCTAGTACACTCCTGTTGTGGTCTGACTGTTTGTCCCCCACATAGAATTCCAGAACACTGCTAGGAGGAACTAAATGCTTACCCCTCACATAGGTTTCCGTAACACTCTTACCAGGGTCTGAATGTTTGTCCCTCACAGGGGATTCTAGAACACTCCTGATGTGGTATGAGTGTTTCTCCCTCACATATGATTCCAGAACACTCTTGTTGTTGTCTGAATGCTTTTCCCTCACACAGGGTCCCAGAACACTCCTGTTGGGTTGTGAGTGTTTGTCCCTCTCCTAGGATTCCAGAAAACTGCTACGAGGTTCTGAATATTTGCCCCTCACATAGGACTCCAGGACACTGCTGCTGTGTTGTAAATGTTTGTTTCTCACATAGGATTTCAGAAGACTCCTGCTGTTGTCTTAAAGTTTGTCCCACACATAGGATTCCAAAACACTCCCGCTGTTGTTTGAATGCTTGTCCCTTACATAGGATTCCAAAACAATGCTGCTGGCGTCTGAATGTTTGTCCCTCACGTAGGATTCAAGAACACCGTTACGAATGTCTGAATGTTTGTTCCTCACATAGGATTTCAGAACAATACAGCTGTGATCTGACTGTTTGTCCCTCAAATAGGGTTCCAGAACACTGCTGCTGGGTTCTGAGTGTTTGTCCCTCACATCGGATTCCTGAACACCGCTGCGAGTGTCTGAATGATTGCCCCTCACATAGGATTCTAGAACAGTGCTGCTGAGGTCTAAATGTTTGTCCGACACATATGATTCCAGAACACTGCTAAGAGGGTCTGAAGGTTTGTTCCTCACACAGAATTCCAGAACACTGCTACGAGCATCTGAAAGTTTGTCCCTCACACAGGATTCCAGAACACTGCTACAAGCATCTGAATGATTGTCCCTCATATAGGATTCCAGAACGCTGTTGCTGGGGTGTGAATGTTTGTCCCTCACATAGGATTCCAGAACAATGCTGCTGGAGTCTATATGTATGTCCTTCACATGATTCCAGAACCCTGCTGCTGGGTTCTGAGTATTTCTCCCTCACATAGAATTCCAGAACACTGCGACGAGGGTCTGAATGTTTGTTCATAACATAGGATTCCAGAACACTTTCGCTGTTGTTTTAATGTTTGTCCCTCACATAGGATTCCAGAACACTGCTGCTGAGGTCTGAATGTTTGTCCCTCGCATAGGATTCCAGAACACTGCTGAGACTGTCTGAATGTTTGTCCCTCACATATTATTCCAGAACATTGCTACGATTGTCTAAATGTTTGTCCCTAACATAGCATTCCAGAACAATGCTCCGAGGGTCTGAATGTCCCTCACATATGATTCTGGAACACTGATACGATTGTCTGAATGTTTCTCCCTCACATATGATTCTGGAACACTGCTACGAGGGTCTCAAAATTTGTCTCTCACATAGAATTCCAAAACACTCCTGCTGTGTTCTGAGTGTTTGTCCCTAACATAGGATTCCAGAACAATCCTGCAGTGGTCTGAATGTTTGTCCCTCACATAGGGTTCCAGAACACTGCTGCTGGGTTCTGAGTGTTTGTACCTCACATAGGATTCCAGAACACTGCTGGTATGGTCTAAATGTTTGTCCATCACGTAGGATTCCAGAACATTGCTACGAGGGTCTGAATGTTTCCTCCTCACAGGGGATTCCATAACACTCCTGCTGTGGTCTGAATGTTTGTCCCTCAGACAGGATTCCAGAACACTGCTACGAGGTTCCTAATGTATGTCCATCACACAGAATTCCAGAACACTGCTCTGAGGGTCTGAATGATTGTCCCTCTCATGTTATTCCAGTACACTACTGATGGGGTCTGAATGTTTGTCCCTCACATAGGATTCCAGAACACTGCTACGGGGCTCTGAATATTTGTCACTCACATAGGATTCCAGAAGAATACAGCTGTGGTCGGAATGTTTGTATCTCACATAGGGTTCCAGAACACTGTTGCTGGGTTCTGAGTATTTGTACTTCACATAGGATTCCAGAACACTGCTACGAGTGTTTGAATGACTGTCCCTCACATAGGATTCCAGAACACTTCTACGATTGTCTGAATGTTGGTCTCTCAAACAGGGTTCCAGAAGACTGCAGCTGGGTTCTGAGTGTTTGTCCCTCACTTAGAATTCCAGAACACTGCAACGACGGTTTGAATATACGTTCCTAACATAGGATTCCAGAACACTCCCGCTGTTGTTTGAATGTTTGTCCCTCACATAGGATTCCAGAACACTTCTACGATTGTCTGAATGTTGGTCCCTCGCATAGGATTCCAGAACATTGTTATGAGGGTCTGAATGTTTGTTCCTCACAGGGGATTCCAAAACACTCCTGCTGTGTTCTGAGTGTTTGTCCCTCACATAGGATTCCAGATCACTGCAACGAGGGTCTGAATGAATGTGCCTCATATAGGATTCTAGAATGCTGCTGCTGAGGTCCGAATGTTTCTCTCTCACATAGGGTTTCAGAAAACTGCTACAAGGGTCTGAATGTTTGTCCCTAATATAGGATTCCATAACACTCCGGCTGTGGTCTGAATGTCTGTCCCTCACACAAGATTCCAGAACTCTGCTGCTGTAGTATGAATGGATCTCCATCACATAGCATTCCAGAACACTGTTACGAGGGTCTGAATGTTTGTGCCTCAAATAGGATTCCAGAACACTGCTGCTGGGGTCCGAATGTTTGTGCTCACATAGGATTCCAAAGCACTGCTATGAGATTCTGAATGTTTTTCCATCACATAATATTCCAGAAAACTGCTACGAGCGTCTGGAAGTTTGTGCCTCACATAGGACCAAAGAACTCTGCTGCTAGAATGCGAATGTTTGTTGCTAACATACAATTCCAGAACACTCCTGCTGTGTCTGAATGTTTGTCTTTCACAAAAGATTCCAGAACACTCCTGCCGGGGTCTTAATTTTTGTCCCTCACATAGGATTCAACAACACTGCTGCTGGGGTCTCAAAGTTTGTCCCTCAGGTAGGATTCCAGAACACTGCTGCTGGGGTCTAAAAGTTTGTCTGTCACGTAGGATGCCAGAAAACTGCTGTTAGTTTCTGAGTGTTTCTCCCTCACATAGAATTCCATAACAATGCAATGAGGATCTGAATGTTTGTCCATAACATAGGATTTCAGAACACTCCAGTTATTGTTTCAATGTTTGTCCCTCGCATAGGATTCCAGAACACTGCTAAGAGGGTCTGAATTTTTGTCCCTCACATAGGATTCCAAAACACTCCTGCTGTGTTCTGAGTGTTTGTCCTTCACATAGGATTCCAGATCAATCATGCAGTGGTCTGAGTGTGTGTCCCTCACATAGGTTTCCAGAACACTGCTAAGAGGTTCTGAATGTTTGTCCCTCACATAGGATTCCAAAACACTCCTGCTGTGTTCTGAGTGTTTGTCCTTCACATAGGATTCCAGATCAATCATGCAGTGGTCTGAATGTGTGTCCCTCACATAGGTTTCCAGAACACTGCAACAGGGGTCTGAATGTTTTTCCCTCACATTGCATTCCAGAAAACTGCTACGATTCTCTGAATGTTTGTCTCCCACATAGGATTCCAGAACACTGCTACGAGGGTCTGATTGTTTTTTTCTCACATTGGACCCCAGAACTCTGTTGCTGGGGTCTATATGTTTCTCTGTCAAATAGGATTCCAGAACCCTGATACGAGGGTCTGAATGTTTGTTCCTCACAGGGGATTCCAGAACACTCCTTCTTTGGTTTAAAGCTTTGTCCCTCACACGGAATTACAGAACAGTGGTACGAGGGTCTGAATGATTGTCCTTCCCATAGGATTCCAGAACACTGCTATGATAGTCTTAATATTTGTCCCTCACATAGGATTCCAGAACACTGCTACGATAGTCTGAATGTTTGTCCCTAACATAGGATTCCAGAACACTGCTATGAGGATCTGAATATTTGTCTCTCACATAAGATTCCAAAACACTCTTGCTGTGTTCTGAGGGTTTGTCTCTCACATAGGATTCCAGAACACCGCTACGACAGTCTGAATGTTTGTCCCTCACATTGGATTTAAGAACACTGTTATGAAGTTCTGAATGTTTGTCCCTCACATAGGATTCCAGAACACTGCTACGATTATGTGAATGTTTGCTCCTCACATAGGATTCCAGAACACTGCTACGAGGGTCTGAATATTTGTCCTCCAAGTTGGATTCCAAAACACTCCTGCTGTTTTCTGAATGTGTGTCCCTCACATAGAATTCCAGAACAATCCTGCTGTGGTCTGAATGTTTGTCCCTAACATAGTGTTCCAGAACACTGCAGCTGGGTTCTGAGTGTTTGTCCCTCACATAGGATTCCAGAACACTGCTACGAGTGTCTGAATGTTTCTCTCTCACATAGGATTCCAGAACACTGCTGCTGGGGTTTAAATGATTGTCCATCACATAGGATTCCTGAACACTGCTACGAGTGTCTCAATGTTTGTTCCTCACCGGGGATTCCACAACACCCCTGCTGTGGTCTGAAAGTTTGTCCCTCACATTGAATTCCAGAAAACTGCAAGGAGGGTCTGAATGTTTGTCCCTCACACAGAATTCCAGAACACTACTACGAGGGTCTGATTGACTGTCCCTCACGTAGGATTCCAGAACACTGCTTCTGGGGTCTTAATGTTTGTCCCCCACATAGGACTCCAGAACACTGCTGCAGGAGTCTATGTGTATGTCTTTCACATCGGATTCCAGAACACTGAGGCCGGGTTCTGAGTGTTTCTCCCTCACATAGATTCCAGAACACTGCATCGAGGGTCTGAATGTATGTTTCTTTTTATGTTATATTATTTCGTTTATTATTATTATACTTGGAATTTATGTTTCTAACGTAGGATTCCAGAACACTTCCGCTGTTTTTTGAATGTTTTTCCCTCACATAAGATTCCAGAACACTGCTGCTGGGGACTGAATATTTGTCACTCACATTCCAGAACAGTTCTACGGTTGTCTGAATGTTTCTCCCTCACATAGGATTCCAGAACACTGCTACAAGGGTCTGAATGTTTGTCCCTCAGATAGGATTTCAGAACACTTCTACGATTGTCTGATTGTTGGTCCCTCACATCGGATTCCAGAACACTGCGACGAGGGTCTGAATATTTGTTCCTCACAGGGGATTCCAAAACACTCCTGCTGTGTTCTGTTTGTCCCTCACATAGGATTCCAGATCACTGCAACGAGGGTCTGAATGAATGTGCCTCATATAGTATTCCAGAACACTGCTGCTGGGGTCTGAATGTTTGTCCCTCACATAGGATTCCAGAACACTGCTGCTGCAGTCTACTCGTGTGTCCCTCACATTGGATGCCGGAACACTGCTGCTGGTTCTGAGTGTTTCTCCCACACATAGAATTCCAGAACACTGCAACGGGGGTCTGAATGTATGATCCTAACTTAGGATTCCAGACCACTCCCGCTCTTGTTTGAGTGTTTGTCTGTCACATGGGATTCCAGAACACTTCTGCTAGGGTCTGAATGTTTGTCCATAACATAGGACTCCAGAACACTCCCGCTGTTGTTTGAACGTTTGTCCCTCATATAGGATTCTAGAACACTGCTTCTAGGTTCTGAATGTTTGTCCCTCACGTAGGATTCCAGAACACTGCTACAATTGTCTGAACCTTTGTCCCTCATATAATATTCCAGAACACTTCTGTGAGGATCGAAATGTTTGTCACATATTATTACAGAACACCCCCACTGTGGTCTGAATGTTTCTCCCGCACATAGGATGACAGAATACTGCTGAGAGGGTCTGAATGATTGTCCCTCAAATAGGATTCCAGATCAATGCTGCTGGGGTCTAAAGGTTTGTCCGTCACATCGGATTCCAGGTTACTGCTACAGGGTTCTGAATGTTTATTCCTCACAGGGGATTCCAGATCACTACTTCTGTGTTCTGAAAGTTTGACCCTCACGTAGGATTCTGGAACACTGCCATGATTGTCTGAAAGTTTTTCCCTCACACAGAATTCCAGAACAATGCAACGAGGGGCTGAATGATTGTCTCTCATGTAGGATTTCAGAAGACTGCTGCTGGGGTCTGAATGTTTGTCCCTCACATACGAGTCCAGAACACTGCTGCTGAGGTCTGCATGTATGTCCATCGCATAGAATACCAGAACACTGCTGCGGAGTTCTGAGTCTTTCTCCGTCACATAGAATTCCGGAAAACTGCGATGATGGTCTGAATGTTTGTCCGTAACATAAGATTCCCGAACACTCCCGCTGTTGTTTGTTTGAATGTTTGTTCCTCACATAGGATTCCAGAACACTGCTGCTGGGTTCTGAATGTTTGTCCCTCACATAGGATTCCAGAACACTGCTACGATTGTCTGAATGTCTGTCCATCACATAGGATTCCAGAACACTGCTGCTGGGGTCTAAATCTTTGTCCGTCACATTGGATTCCAGAACACAGCTATGAGGGTCTGAATGTTTCTCCCTCACAGGCGATTCCAGAACACTCCTGCTGTGGTCTGAATGTTTGTCCCTCACATAGGTTTCCAGAGCACTAGTAGGAGTGTCTGATTTTTTGTCCTCCCATAGGATTCCAAAACACTGCTACGAGGTTCTGAATGTTTTTCCCTCACATAGGATTTCAGAACACTGCTGCGAGCATCTGAATTTTTGTTTCTCACATAGGACAAAAGAACACTGGTGCTGGGGTCTGAATGTTTGTTGCTCCCATAGGATTCCAGAACACTCCTGCTGTAGTCTGAATGTTTCTCATTAACAAAAGATTCCAGAACACTCCTGCTGGGATCTCAATATTTGTCCCTCACACAGGATTCAAGGACACTGCTGCTCTGGTCTGAAAGTTTGTCCCTCACATAGGATTCCAGTACACTGCTACGAGGGTCTGAATATTTGTCCCTCACATAGGATTCCAGAACACTGCTGCGATTGTTTGAATGTTTGTCTTTCACGTAGGATTTCAGAACACTGATACAAGAGTCTGAATGTTTGTCCCTCACATCGGATTCCAGAACACTCCTATGATTGTCTGAATGTTTGTCCCTTAGATAGGATTCCAGAACACTGCTACGAGGGTCTGAATGTTTTTCCCTCATATAGGATTCCAAAACACTCCTGCTGTGTTCTGAGTGTTTGTAGACACATCAGATCCAGAACACTACTGTTGTGATCTGAATGTTTCTGCATCACACCAGATTCCAGAACACGCTACGAGGTTCTGAATGACGGTCCCACACATAGGATTCCAGAACACCGCTGCTGGGGTCTAAATGTTTGTCCATCACACAGGATTCAAGAACAGTGCTACGAGGGTCTGAATGTTTCTTCCTCACTGGGGATTCCAGAATAGTCCTGCTGTGGTCTGAATGTTTGTCCCTCACACAGAATTCCAGAACACTGTTACGAGGGTCTGAATGATTGTCCTTCATATAGGATTCCAGAACTCTGCTGCTGGTGCCTGAATGTTTTTCCCTCACATAGGATTCCAGAACGCTGCTGCTGGGGTCTACATGTATGTCCGTCACATAGGAATCCAGAACACTGCTGCTGTGTTCTGTGTGTCTCTCCCTCACATAAATTCCAGAACACTGCGACGAGGGTATGCATGTTTGTCCGAAACGTAGGATGTCAGACGCTCTCGCTGTTTTTTGAATGTTTATCCCTCCCATAGGATTCCAGAACACTCTACGATTGTCTGAATGTCTGACCCTCACATAGGATTCCAGAACACTGCTGGGAGGCTCTGAATTTTTGTCCCTCCCATAGGATTACAGAACACTGCTACGATTGTCTGCATTTTTGTCCCTCACATAGGATTCCAGAACACTGCTACGACTGTCTGCATTTTTGTCCCTCACATAGGATTCCAGAACACTGCTAGGATGATCTGAATATCTGTCCCTCACATAGGATTCCAGAACACTGCTAGGATGATCTGAATATTTGTCCCTCACATAGGATTGCAGAACACTGCTATGAGTGTATGAATGTTTGCCTCTCACATAGGATTCCAGAACACGGCTTTGATTATCTAAATGTTAGTCCCTCACATAGGATTCCTGAACACTCCTGCTGTGGTCTGATAGTTTTTCCCTCACATAGGATTCCAGAACACTGCTACGAGGCTCTGAATGTTTGTCCCTCACATAGGATTCCAAAACACTCCTGCAGTGTTCGAAGTGTTTGTCCCCCACATAGGATTTCAGAACAATCTTGCTGTGGTCTCAATGTTTGTCCCTCCATAGGATTCCAGAATACAGTTGCTGAGTTCTGAGGGTTTGTCCCTCACATAGGATTCCAGAACACTGCTATGAGGTTCTGAATGTTTGTCTCTCACATAGGATTCCAGAACACTGCTGCTGGGGTCTAAATGTTTGTCCATCACATCGGAATCCAGACCACTTTTATGAGGGTCTAAAAGTTTCTTCCTCACAGGAGATTCCAGAACACTTCTGCAGTGTTCTGAATGTTTGTACCTCACATAGGATTCCAGAACACTGCTGCTGCCATCTAAATGTTTGTCTGTCACATAGGATTCCAGAACACTGCTATGAGGTCTCAATGTTTGTCCCTCACGTAGTATTCCAGAACACTGCTACGAGGGTCTGAATGTTTGTACTTCACAGAGCATTCCAGAACACTGCTATGAGTTTCTGGATGTTTATCCCTCACACAGAATTCCACAATACTGCTACAAGGGTCTGAATGATTGTCCCTCTCATAGGATTCCAGAACACTGCTGCTGGGGTCTGAATGTTTGTACCTCACATAGGATTCCAGAACACTGCTGCTGGGTTCTGGATGTTTGTCCATCATATAGGATTCCACCACACTGCTGCTGGGGTGCAGATTTATGGGCGTCACCTAGATTCCAGAACACTGCTGCAGGTTTCTGAGTGTTTCTCCCTCACATAGAATTCTAGAACACTGCAACTAGGGTCTGAATGTTTGTCCTTAACATAGGATTTCAGAACACTCCCGCTGTTGGTTGAATGTTTCTCCCTCACATAGGATTCCAGAACACTGCTCCTGGGGTCTGAATGTTTGTCCCTCACATAGGATTCTGGAACACTGCTATGATTATCTTAATACATGTCCCTCACAAAGGATTCCAGAACATTCCTACGAGGGTCTGAATGTATGTCCCACACATAGGATTCCAGAACACTGCTGCTGGGGTCTGAATGTTTGTCCCTCACATAGAATACCAGAAAACTGCTACGATTGTCTGAATGTTTGTTCCTCACTGGGGATTCCAGAACACTGCTACTGGGTCTAAATGTTTATCCATCACTTAGGATTCCAGAACACTGCTACGAGGGTCGGAATGTTTGTTCCTCACGGTGGATTCCAGAACACTCCTGCTGTGGTCTGAATGTTTGTCCCTCACACAGGGCTCCAGAACACTTCTACAAGGGTCTGAATGTTTCTCACTCACACAGAATTCCAAAACACTGCAACGAGGGTCTGAATGATCATCCCTCACATAGGAGTCCAGAACAATGCTGCTGGGGTCTACATGTCTGACCGTCACATAGGATTCCAGAACAATGCTGCTGGGGTCTGCATGTCTGTCCGTCACATAGGATTCCAGAACAATGCTGGTGGGTTCTGAATGTTTCTCCCTCACATAGAATTCCAGAACACTCGGACGAGGGTCTGAATATTTGCCTGTAACATAGGATTCCAGAACACTCCCACTGTTGTATGAATGTTTGTCCCTCACATAGGATTCCAGAACGCAGCAGCTGAGGTCTGAATGTTTGTCCCTCACATAGGATTCCAGAATTCTGCTATGATTGTCTGAACGTTTTTCCCTCACATAAAACTCCAGAACACTGCTGCTGGGGTCTGAATGTTTGTCTGTCACATAGGATTCCAGAACACTTTTACTAGTGTCTGAATGTTTGTTCCTCACTGGGGATTCCAGAGCACTCTTCCTGTGGTCTGAATGGTTGTCCTTCACATAGGATTCCAGAACACTGCTACGACGTTCTGAATGCTTGTCCCTCACACAGAATTCCAGAACACTGTTACGAGGGTACGAATGACTGTGCCTCGCATAGAATTCCAGAACACTCCTGCTGAGGTCTAAATGTTTGTCCGTAACATAGGATTACAGAACAATCCTGCTGTGGTCTGAAATTTTGACCCTCACACAGGGTTCCAGAACACTGCTGCTCATTTCTGAGTGTTTGTCCCTCACATAGGATTCAAGAACACTGTGAAGACGGTGTGAATATTTGTCTGTAACATAGGATTATGGAACACTCCCGCTGTTGTTTGAATGTTTATCACTCACATAGGATTCCAGAACACTGCTGCTGGGGTCTGAATGTTTGTCCCTCACATAGGATTCCAGCACACTGCTATGATTATCTCAATGTTTGTCCCTCACATAGGATTCCAGAATACTCCTTTGAGGGTCTGAATGTTTGTCCCTCACATAGGATTCCAGAACACTGCTACAAAACTCTGAATGCTTTTCCCTCACATAGGATTCCAGAACACTGCTAACTAGGGTTTGAATGTATGTCCCTCCCATAGGATTCCAGAACACTCCTGCTGTGGTCTGAATGCTTGTCCCTCACATACGATTCCAGAACACTACTACGAGGGTCTGAATTTTTGTCACTCACATAGGATTCCAAAACATTCCTGTTATTTTCTTAGTGTTTGTCCCTCACATATCATTCCAGAACAATCCCGCTGTGGTCTGAATGTTTGTCCCTCACATAGGATTCCACAAAACTGCTACAAGATTCTGAATGGTTTTCCTCACTGAGGATTCCAGAACACTGCTCCTGGGGTATAAATATTTGGCCGTCACATAGGATTCCAGAACACTACTACGAGGGTCTGTATGTTTGTTCCTCACAGGGGATTCCAGAACACTAATGCTGTGGTCTGAATGTTCGTTCCTAACACAGGATTCTGGTACACTGCTATGAGGGTCAGAATGTTTGTCCCTCACATTGGATTCCAGAACAATGCTACCAATGTCTGAATGTTTGTCCCTCACATAGAATTCCAGATCACTGCTATGAGGGTCTGAATGTTTGTCCCTCACATAGGATTCCAGAACACTCCTGCTATGGTCTGTATATTTGTCCCTCACATATGATTCCAGAACACTGCTACGAGAGTCTAAACGTTTGTCCCTCACACAGGATTTCAAAACCTTTCTGCTGGGTTCGGAGTGTTGGTCCCTCACATAGGTTTCCAGAACAATCCTGGCATGGTCTGAATGTTTATCCCTCACATAGGGTTCCAGAACACTGCTGCTGGTTTCAGTGTGTTTGTCGCTCATGTAGGATTCCAGAACACTGCTATGAGGGTCTGAATGTTTCTACCTCACATAGGATTCCAGAACACTGCTGCTGGGGTCTAAATGTTTGTCTGTCACATAGGATGATTTCACATAGGATTACAGAACACTGCTAAGAGGGTCTGAATGTTTGTTCCTCACAGATGATTCCAGAACACTCCTGCTGTTGTCTGAATGTTTGTTCCTCACAGATGATTCCAGAACACTCCTGCTGTTGTCTGAATGTTTGTCAATCACATAGGATTCCAGAACACTGCTATGAGGCTCTGAATGTTTGTTCCTCACACAGAATTCCAGAATACTGCTACCAGGGTCTGAATGATTATCCCTATTCTAGGATTCCAGAACACTGTTGCTAGGGTCTGAATGTTTGTCTGTCTCATAGGATTCCAGAATAATGCTGCTGGGGTCTACATGTGTGTCCATCCCATAGGATTCCAGAACAGTGCTGCTGGTTTCTAAATGTTTCTCCCTCACATAGAATTCCAGAACACTGCGACAAGGGTCTGATATTTGTCCATAACATAGGATTACAGAACACTCCCACAGTTGTTTGAATGTTTGTCCCTCACATAGGAATCCAGAACACTGCTAATGGGGACTGAATGTTTGTCCCTCACGCAGGATTCCAGAACAATGTTACGATTATATTAATATTTGTCCATAACATAGGATTACAGAACACTCCCGCAGTTGTTTGAATGTTTGTCCCTCTCAAAGGATTCCAGAACACTGCTACGCGGGTCTGAATGTTTGTCCGTAACATATGATTCAAGGACAGTCCCGCTGTTGTTTGAATGTTTGTCCCTCACATAGGATTCCAGAACACTGCTGCTGTGGTCTAAATGTTGGTCCCTCACATAGGATTACAGAACACTGCCACGAGGGTCTGAATATTTGTTCCTCACAGGGGATTCGAGAACACTCCTGCTGTGGTCTGAATGTTTGTCAATCACATAGGATTCCAGAACACTCCTATGAGGCTCTGAATGTTTGTCCCTCACACAGAATTGCAGAACACTGCAGCCAGGATCTTAATGATTATCCCTACTCTAGGATTCCAGAACACTGCTGCTGGGGTCTGAATGTTTGTCCGTCTCACAGGATTCCAGAACAATGCTGCTGGGGTCTACATGTGTGTCCATCCCATAAGATTCCAGAACACTGCAGCTGGTTTCTAAGTGTTTCTCCCTCACATAGGATTCCAGAACACTGCGATGAGGGTCTGAATGTTTGTCCGTAACATAGGATTACAGAACACTCCCGCTGTTGTGGGAATGTTTGTCCCTCACATAGGAATCCAGAACACTGCTAATGGGGACTGAATGTTTGTCCCTCACACAGGATTCCAGTACAATGTTACGATTTTCTTAATATTTGTCCCTCACATAGGATTCCAGAACAAACCTGGAGGGTCTGAATGTTTGTCCCTCTCATAGGATTCCAGAACACTGCTACGAGGGTCTGAGTGTTTGTCCATAACATATGATTCAAGACCACTCCCGCTGTTGTTTGAATGTTTGCCCCTCACATAGGATTCCAGAACACTGCTACGATTGTCTGAGTTTCTTCCTCACCTAGAATTCCAGACCACTGAGATGAGGGTCAGAATTTTTGTCCCTCAATAGGATTCCAGAATGCTGCTGCTAGGGTCTGAATGTTTGTCCCTCACTTAGGATTCCAGAACACTGCTGCTGGGGTCTACATTTATGTCCGAAACATAGGATTCCAGAACACTGCTGCTGGTTTCTGAGTGTTTCTCACTCACAAACAATTCCAGAACACTGCGACGAGGGTTTGAATGTTTGTCCGTAACATAGGATTCAAAAACACTCAAGTATTTATTTGAATGTTTGTCCCTCACATAGGATTCCAGAACACTGCTACGAGGGTGTGAATGTTTGTCCCTCACTTAGGATTCCAGAACACTCCTGCTGTGGACTGAATGTTTGTCCCTCAGAAAGAAAGCCAGAACAGTGCTACCAGGGTCTGAATATTTGTCCCTCACATAGGATTCAAGGACCCTGCTGCTGGGGCCTAAATGTTTGTCCTTCAAATAGGATTCCAGAACACTACTACGAGAGTCTGAATGTTTGTTCCTCACAGGGGATTCCAGAACACTTCTGCTGTGGTCTGAATGTTTGTCACTCACATGGGATTCCACATCACTGCTATGAATGTCTGAATGTTTGTCCCTCACAAAGAATTCCAGAACACTGCTACGAGGGTCTTTATGACTGTCCATCACATAGGATACCAGAACACTGCAGCTGGGGTCTGAATGTTTGTCCCTCACACAGGATTCCAGAACACTGCTGCTGGGGTCTGAATGTTTGTCTGTCACAAAGGATTCCAGAGCACTGCTGCTATGGTCTACATGTATGTCCTTCACATAGGATTCCAGAACACTGCTGCTGGGTTCTGAGTGTTTCTCCCTCACATAGAATTCCAGAACACTGCGACGAGGGTCTGAATGCTTGTCCGTGACATAAGATTCCAGAACACTCCCGAGGATGTTTGAATATTTTTCACTCATATAATATTCCAGAACACTGCTATGACGTTCTGAAATATTGTCCCTCACATGAGATTCTATAATACTGCTGCTGGGGTCTAAATGTTTGTCCGTCAGATAATATTCCAGACACTGCTAGGAGGTTCAAAATGTTTGTTCCTCACAGGGGATTCCAATACACTCTTGGTGTGGCCTGAATTTTTGTCCCTCACACAGGACTCCAGAACATTGCTACGAGTGTCTGAATGTTTGTCCCTCACATGGGATTCCAGAACACTGCTGCTGTGGTCTAAATGTGTGTCAGTCACATAGGATTACAGAACACACCTACGAGGGTCTGAATGTTTGTTCCCCACAAGGGATTCCAGAAGAGTCCTGCAGTGGTCAAAATGTTTGTCCCTGACACAGGATTCTGGAACACTGCTGAAAGTGTCTGAATGGTTGTCCCTCAAATAGGATTCCAGAACACTGCTGCTGGGGTCTGAAACTTTGTCACTAACATTGGATTCCAGAACACTGCTACGATTGTCTGAATGTTTGTCTCTCACATAGGATTCCAGAACACTCTTACGAGGGTCTGCATGTTTGTCCCTCACATGGGATTCCAGAACACTGCTACGATTGTCTGAATGTTTGTACCTCACATAGGATTCCAGAACACTGCTACGAGGTTTTGAAATTTTGTCCCACACACAGGATTGCAGAACACAGCTATGAGGGTCTAAAAGTTTGTTTCTCAAAGGGAATTCCAAAACAGTCCTGCTGTGGTCTGAATGTTTGTCCCTCACATAGGATTCCAGAACACTGCTATCAGGGTCTGAATGTTTATCCCTCACTCAGGATTCCAGAACACTGTTGTGAAGGTCAGATTGTTTATCCCTCACATAGTATTCTAAAACACTCCTGCTATGTTTTGAGTGTTTGTCACTCACATAGGATTCCAGAACACTGCTGCTGGGTTCTAAATATTTGTCCAACAGATAAGATTCCAGTACACTGCTATGAGGGTCGGAATGTTTGTTCCTCACAGGGGATTCCAGAACACTCTTGCTGTGGTCGGAATGTTTTTCCCTCACACAGGATTGCAGAACACTGTTACGACGGTCTGAATGTTTGCCCCTCACACAGAATTCCAAAACACGGCTATGATGGTCTGAATGATTGTGCCTCACATGGGATTCCAGAACACTGCTGCTGGAGTCTGAATGTTTGTCCCTCACATAGGATTCCAGAACACTGCCGCTGGGTTCCGAGTTTTTGTCCCTCACAGGGAATTCCAGAACACTGCCGCTGGGTTCCGAGTTTTTGTCCCTCACAGGGAATTCCAGAACACTGCAACGATGGTCTCAATGTTTGTCTGTAACATAGGGTTCCAGAACAATCTCTCTGTTTTTTGAATGTTTGTCCCTCACATAGGATTCCAGAACCCTGCTACGATTGTCTGAATGTTTGTCCGTAACATAGGGTTCCAGAACACTCTCTCTGTTTTTTGAATGTTTGTCCCTCACATAGGATTCCAGAACCCTGCTACAATTGTCTGAATGTTTGTCCCTCACATAGGATCCCAGAACACTGCCACGATTGTCTCAATGCTTGTCCCTCACATAGGATTCCAGAACACTGCTACGACAGTCTAAATGTTTGTCCCTCACATAGGATTCCTGAACACTGCTATGATTGAATGTTTGCCCCCACATAGGATTCCAGAATACTGCTACGAGGGTCTGAAAGTTTGTCTCTCATATAGGATTCCAGAACACTGCTAAGATTTTTTGAATGCTTGTCACTCACGTGGGATTCCAGAACACTCGCGCTGGGGTCTGAATGTTTATCCCTCACACAAAATTCCAGAACACTGCCACGAGGGTCGGAATGATTGTCCCTCACATAGGGTTCCAGAACACTGCTGCTGGAGTCTACAAGTAGGTCTGTCACATAGGGTTCCAGAACACTGCTACAGGAATCGGAGTGTTTCTCCCTCACATAGAATTCAAGAACACTGCGAGGAGGGTCTGAATGTTTTTCCTTGTCATAGGATTCCAGAACACACCTGCAGTTGTTTGAATGTTTTTCCCTCACATAGGATTCCAGAACACACCTGCAGTTGTTTGAATGTTTTTCCCTCACATAGGATTCCAGAATACTGCTGCTGTGGTCTGAATGTTTGTCCCTCACACAGAATTCCAGAACACTGCTACGACGTTCTGAATGATTTACCCTCACATACGATTCCCGAAGACTGTTCCTGGGGTCTGAATGTTTGTCCCTCACATAGGCCTTCAGAACACTGCTGCTGGGTTCTACATGTATGTCCGTCACATAGGATTCCAGAACACTGCTAAGAGGATCCGAATGTTTGTCCCTCACATACGATTCCAAAACACTCCTGCTATGTTCTGAGTGTTTGTCCCTCACATAGTATTCCAGAACAATCCTGCTGTGGTGTGAATGTTTGTCCCTCACATAGGGTTCCAGAACACTGTTGCTGGGTTTTGAGTGTTTCTCCCTCACATAGGAATCCAGAACACTGCTACAAGGGTCTGAATGCTTGTCCCTCACATGGGATTCCAGAACACTGCAGTTGCAGTTGGGGTCTTAATGTTTGTCCGTTACATAGGATTCCAGAACACTGCTAAGAGGATCCGAATGTTTGTCCCTCATATAGGATTCCAGAACACCGCAACTAGGTTCTGAATGATTTACCCTCACATAGGATTCCAGATCACTGCTAAGAGGATCCGAATGTTTGTCCCTCATAGGATTCCAGAACACTGCTACTAGGATCTGAATATTTGTTACTCACAGGGGATTGCAGAACACTCCAGCTGTGGTCTGAATGTTTGTCCCTCAAATAGGATTCCAGAACACTGCTATGAGTGTCTGAATGTTTTTCCATCACACAGAATTACAGGACACTGCTGTTACCGTCTACATGTATGTCTGTCACATAGGATTTAAGAACATTGCTGCCGGTTTCTGAGTGTTTCACCCTCACATAGAATTCCAGATCACTGAGACGAATTTCTGAATGTATGTCCGTAGCTTAGGATTCCAGAACACTCACTCTGTTGTTGGAATGTTTGTCCCTCACATACGATTCCAGAACACTGCTGTTGTAGTCTGAATGTTTCTCCCTCACATAGGATTCGAGAACACAGCTACGATTGTCTCAATGTTTGTCCCTCACATAGGATTCCAGAAAAATGCTACAAGGGTCTGAATATTTGTCACTTACATAGGATTCCAGAACACTGCTACAAGTGTCTGTATGTTTGCCCCTCACATAGGATTCCAGAACACTGCTACGATTGTCTGAATGATTGTCCCTCCCATAGGATTCCAGAACACTCCTGCTGGGGTCTGAATGATTTTCCCTCACATAGGATTCCAGAATACTGCTGCTGGGTTCTCACTGTTTCTACCTCACATAGAATTCCAGAGCACTGAGACGAGGTTCTGAATATTTGTCCATAACCAGGGATTGCAGAACACTCCCGATCTTGGTTCAATGTTTCTCCCTCACATAGGATTACAAAACACTGCTGCTGGGGTCTGAATTTATTTCCCTTTCTTGAGATTCCAGAACATGGCTACGATTTTCTGAATGTTTGTCCCTCACATAGGATTCCAGAACACTGCTATGAGGGTCTGAATGTTTCTCCCTCATATTGGATTCCAAAACACTCCCGCTGTGTTTGAGTGTTTGTCCCTCACGTAGGATTCCAGAACAATCCTGCTGTGGCCTGAATGTTTGTCCCTCACATAGGGTTCCAGGACACTGTTGCTGGGTTCTGAGTTCTTTTCCCTCACACAGGATTCCTGTACACTGCAACGAGTGTCTGAATGTTTGTCTCTCACAGGATTACAGAACACTGCTTCTGAGGTCTAAATGTTTGTCCATCACATAGGATTCCAGAACACTGCTATGAGGTTCTGAATGTTTGTTCCTCACAGTGGATTCCAGAAGACTCTTGCTGTGGTCTGAATGTTTGTCCCTCACAAAGGATTCCAGAACACTGCTCTGATGGTCTGAATCTTTGTCCTTCACACAGAATTCGAGAACACTGCTACGACGGTCTGAATGCTTGTCCCTCACATAGGGTTCTAGAACACTGCTGCTGTGGTCTGAATGTATGTCCCTCATGTAGGATTCGAGAACACTGCTGCTGGGTTCTGATTGTTTCTCCCTCAAATAGAATTCCAGAGCACTGCGGAGAGGATCTGAATTTTTGTCCATAACTTAGGATTCCAGAACACAGCCTCTGTAGTTTGAATGTTTTGTCCCTCATATAGGATTCCAGAACACTGCTGATGGGGTCTGAAAGTTAGTCCCTCACATAAGATTCCAAAACACTGCTACGATTGTCTGAATGTTTTCCCTCACATAGGATTCCAGGGCACTCCTGCCGTGTTATGAATGTTTGTCCCTCACATAGTATTCCAGAACACTGCTGCTCGGGTCTACATGTATGTCCGTCACATAGGATTCCAGTACACTGTTGCTGGGTTCTGAGTGTTTCTCCCTCACATAGAATTCCAGAACACTGTGACGAGGGTCTGAATGTTTGTCCATAACATAGGATTCCAGAACACTCCCACTGTTGTATCAATGTTTATAGCTCACATAGGATTCTGGAACACTGCTGCTGGGGTCTGAATGTTTGTCCCTCGCAAAGAATTCCCGTACACTGCTAAGATTGTATGAATGTTTGTCTCCCACATAGGATTCCAGAACACTGCTACGAGTGTCTGAAAGTTTTTCCCTCACATAGGATTCCAAAACACTCCTGCTATGTTCTGAGTGTCCCTCACATAGGACTCCAGCATAATCCTGCTGTGGCCTGAATGATTGACCCTCACATAGGGTTCCAAAACACTGCTGTTGGGTTCTGAGTGTTTGTCTCTCACATAGGATTCCAGAACACTACTACCAGGGTCTGAATGTTTGTTCCTCACACAGTATTCCAGAAAACTGTTTCTGGGGACTTAATGTTTGTCCGTCACATAGGATTCCAGAACACTGATATGAGGCTCTGAATGTTTGTTCCTCACCGGGGATTCCAGAACACTGCTATGAGGGTCTGAATGTTTGTCCCACACAGAGAATTCCAGAACACTGCTATGAGGGTCTGAATGACTATCCTTCACATAGGATTCCAGAATACTACGGCTGCTGTCTGAATATTTGTCCCTCACATAGGATTCCAGAACACTGCTGCTGGGGTCTACATGTATGTCTGTCACATAGGGTTCCAGAACACTGCTGCTGGGTTCAGAGTGTTTCTCCCTCAGTTAGAATTCCAGAACACTGCGACGAGGATCTGAATGTTTCTCTGTAACAGAGGATTCCAGAACACTCTTGCTGTTGTTTGAATGTTTGTCCCCCACATAGGATTCGAAAACACTGCTGCTGGGGTCTGTATGTTTGTCCGTCACATAGGTTCCTGAACACTACTACGATTGTTTCAATGTTTGTCCCTCATATAGGATTATAGAACACTGCACTGAGTGTCTGAATGTTTGTCCCTCACTTGAGGTTCCAGAGCACTGCTGCTGGGCTCTAAATGTTGGTCCGTCACATAGGATTCCAGAACTATGCTACGAGGGTCCGGATATTTGTTCCTCCCATTGGATTCCAGAACAATCCTGCTCTAGTCCGAATGT
This sequence comes from Homo sapiens, assembly GCF_000001405.40. Classification (NCBI taxonomy): domain Eukaryota; kingdom Metazoa; phylum Chordata; class Mammalia; order Primates; family Hominidae; genus Homo; species Homo sapiens. The sequence continues at coordinate 44,247 of NW_021160012.1, read as the reverse complement.
TTGTCCTTCATATAGGCTTCCAGAACGCTGCTATGGGGGTCTGAAGCTTCCTCCCTCACAAACATCTCCAGAACACTGCTACAAGGGTCTGAATGATTGACCCTCACAGAGGATTCCAGAACACTGCTTTTGAGATCTGAATGTTTGTCTTCACATATGATTCAAGAACACTGCTGCTGGCGTCTACATGTATGTCCATCACATAGGATTCCAGAACACTCCTGTTGGTTTCTGAGTGTTTCTCTCTAACACAGAATTCCAGAACACTGCGACGAGGTTCTGAAAGTCTGTCTGTTACATAGGATTCGACAACACTCCCGCTGTTGTTTGAATGTTTGTTCCTCACATAGGATTCCAGAACGCTGCTGGGGTCTGAATATTTGTCCCTCACATAGGATTCCAGAACATGGCTAAGATTATCTGAATGTTTGTCCCTCACATGTGATTCGAGAACAATGCTACGAGTGTCTGAATGTTTTTTCCTCACGTAGGATTCAAGAGCACTGCTGCTGGGGTCTAAAGGTTCGTCCCTCACATAGGATTCCAGAACACTGCTACGAGGGTCTGAATGTTTTTTCCTCACAGAGGATTCCAGAACAATCCTCCTGTGGTCTGAATGTTTGTCCCTCACGTAGGATTCCAGAACACGGCTTTGAGGATCTCAATATATGGCTCTTACACAGAATTCCACAACGCAGCTACGAACGTCTGAATGAATGTCCCTCACATAGGATTCCGGAACACTGCTACGGTTGTCTGAATGTTTGTCCCTCACTTAGGATTCCAGAACACTGCTACGAAGGTCTGAATATTAGTCCCTCACATAGGATTCCAGAGCAATCCTGCTGTGGTCTGAATGTTTCTCACTCACATAGTGTTCCAGAATGCTGTCGCTGGGTTCTAAATGTCTGTCCCTCACAAAGGATTCCATAACACTGCTACAAGGGTCTGAATGATTGTCCCGCAATTAGGATTCCAGAACACTGCTGCTGGCGTCTAAATGTTTGTCCGTCACACAGGATTCCAGAACAGTGCTAGGAGGATCTGAATGTTTGTTCCTCACAGGTGATTCCAGAACACTCCTGCTGTGGGTCTGAATGTTTTTCTCTCACACATGATTGCAGAACAGTGGTAAGAGAGTCTGAAAGTTTGTACCTCACACAGAATACCAGAACACTGCTACGAGGTCCTGAATCATTGTCCTCACATAGGATTCCAGAACACTGCTCCTGGGGTCTGAATGTTTCTCCCTCACATGAGATTCGAGGACACTGCTGCTGGGGTCTACATGTATGTCCGTCAGATAGGATTCCAGAGCACTCCTGCTGGGTTCTGAGTGTTTCTCCCTCACATAGAATTCCAAACACTGCGAGGAAGGTCTGAATGTTTGTCCGTCACATAGGATTCGTGAACACTCACACTGTTGTTTGAATGTTTGTCTCACACATAGGATTCCAGAACACTGCTCCTGGTGTCTGAATCACATAGGATTCCAGAATAATCCTATGAGGGTCTGAATATATGTTCCTCATATAGGATTCCAGAATAACCCTACGAGGGTCTGAATATGTTTTTCCTCACATAGGATTCCAGAACACTGCTGCTGGTGTCTAAATGTTTGTCTACTTGTTAGGATTCCAGAACACTCTCGCTGTTGTTTGAATGTTTGTCCTTCACATAGGATTCCAGCACACTGCTGCTGGGATCTCAATGTTTGTCCCTCACATAGGATTCCAGAACACTGCTACGATATTCTGAAAGTTTGTTCCTCACAGAGGATTCCACAACACTGCTGCTGTGGTCTGAAAGTTTGTCTCTTGCATTGGATTCCAGAACACTGCTATGAGTGTCTGAATGTTTGTCTGACACATAGGATTCCAAAACACTCCTGCTCTGTTCTGAGTGTTTGTCCCTCACATAGGACTCCAGTATAATCCTGCTGTGGTCTGAATCTTTGTCCCTCACATAGCGTTCCAGAACAGTGCTGCTGGGTTCTGAGTGTTTGTTCCTACATAGGACTCCGGAACACTGCTTCTAGCGTCTGAATGTTTTTTGCTCACACGGGATTCCAGAACACTGCTGATGGGGTCTAAATGTTTGTCCATCACATAGGATTCCAGAACACTGCTACGAGGGTATGAATGTTTTTCCTCACAGGGGATTCCAGAACACGCCTACTGTTGTCTGAATGTTTCTCCCTCACATAGCTTTCCAGAACACTGCTATGAGTGTCTGAATGTTTGTCTCTCACACAAAATTCCAGAACACTCTTACGAGGGTCTGAATGATTGTCCCTGACTTGGGATTCCACAATAATGCTGTTGCGGTCTGAATGCTTGTCCCTCACATAGGATTCCCGAACACAGCTGCTGAGGTCTACATGTGTGTCTGTCATAGAGGATTCCAGAACACTGCTTCTGGGTTCAGAGTGTTTCTGCCTCACACAGAATTCCAGAAAACTGCGACGAGGTTCTGAATGTTTGTCCCTCACATGGGATTCCAGAATAACTCTACTAAGGTCTGAATGTTTGTGCCTCTCATAGGATTCCACAACACTGCTGCTGGTTTCTAAATGTTTGTCCATTACCTAGGATTGCAGAACACTCTCGCTGTTGTATGAATGTTTGTCTCTCACATAGGATTCCAGAACATTGGTGCTGAGTTCTGAATGTTTGTCTCTCACATAAGATTCCAGAACATTGGTGCTGAGTTCTGAATGTTTGTCTCTCACATAAGATTCCAGACCACTGCTGTGATTTTCTGAAAGTTTGTCCCTCACATAGGATTCCGCAGCACTGCAAAGAGGGTCTGAATGTTTTGTCCCTCACATAGGATTCCAATACTCTCCCGCTGTTTTCTGTTTTTCCCACACATGGGATCCCAAAGCAATCCTGCTGTGGTCTGAATGTTTGTCCCTCACATCGGGTTCCAGAACACTGGTGCTGGTTTCTGAGTGTTTGCCCCTCAGATAGGATTCCAGAACTCTGCTACGAAAGTCTGAATGTTTGTCCCTCACACAGGATTCCAGAACACTTTTGCTGGGGTCTAAATGTTTGTCCCTCACATAGGATTCCAGAACACTGCTGCTAGGGTCTGAATGTTTTTTCCATACAGGGGATTCCAGAATACTCCTGCTGTGTTCGGAATGACTATCCCTCACACAGGATTCCAGTACACTGCCACGATGGTCTGAATGTTTGCCCCTCACGCAGAATTCCAGAACACTACTACGAGAGTCTGAATGATGGTCCCTCACAGAGGATTCCAGAACACTGCTGCTGGAGTCTGAATGTTTGTCCGTCACATAGGATTCCGGAACACCGCTGCTGGGGTCTATGTGTATGTCCGTCACACAGGATTCCAGAACACAGCTGCTGGGTTCTGTGTGTTTCCCCCTCACTTGAATTCCAGAGCACTGTGACAAGGGTCTGAATGTTTGTCAGTAACATACTATTTCAGAACACTCCCGCTGTTGTTTGAATGTTTTTCCCTCACATAGGATTCCAGAACACTGCTACTGGGGTCTGAATGTTTTTCCCTAGCATAGGATTCCAGAACACTGCTACGATTGTCTGAATGTTTGTCCCTCACTTAGGATTCCAGAACACTGCTACGAGTGCCTGAATGTTTCTCCATCACATAGCATTCCAAAACAATCCTGCTGTGTTCTCAGTGTTTGTCCCTCACATATGGTTCCAGAACACGGCTGCTGGGTTCTGAGTGTTTGTCCCTTTATAGGATTCTAGAACACTGCTCCGAGGGTGTGAATGTTTGTCCCTCACACAGGATTCCAGAACACTGCTGCTGGGGTCTAAATGTTTGTCTGTCATATAGGATTCCAGAACACTGCTACGAGGGTCTGAATGTTTCTTCCTCACAGAGGATTCCAGAACATGCCTGCTGTGGTCTGAATGTTTGTCCCTCACATAGGTTTCCAGAACACTGCTATGAGGGTCTGAATGTTTGTCCATCACACGGAATTCCAGAACACAGCTACGAGGGTCTGAGTGATTGTCCCTCACACAGGATTCCAGAACACTGCTGCTGCCGTCTGAAAGTTTGTCCCTCACATAGGATCCCAGAGCACTGCTACTGATGTCTGCATGTATGTCTGTCGCTAAGGATTCCAGAACACTGCTGGTGGGTTCTGAGTGTTTCTCCCTCACATGTAATTCAAGAAGACTGCGACGAGGATCTGAATGTTTGCCCGTAACAAAGGATTCCAGAACATTCCCGCTGTGATTTTAATGTTCGTCCCTCACATAGGATTCCAGAACAATGCTGCTGGGGTCTAAATATTTGTCCGTCACAAAGGATTCTAGAACACTGCTATGATTGTCTCAATGTTTTTCTCTCACATAAGATTCTAGAACACTATACTGAGGGTCCTAATGTTTGTCCTTCCCACAGGATTCCAGAACACTGCTCCTGTTGTCTAAATATTTGTCCTTTACCTAGGATTGCAAAACACTCCCTCTGTTGTTTGAATGTTTGTCCCTCACATTGGATTCCAGAACACTGCTGCTGGGTTCTGAATGTTTGTCCCTCACCTAGGATACCAGACCACTGCAACGATTTTCTGAAAGTTTGTCCCTCACATAGGATTCCAGAACATTGCTGCTGCAGTCCAAATGTTTGTCCGTCACATAGGATTCCAGAACATTGCTGCGAGGGTCTGAATGTTTGTTCCTCACATAGGATTTGAGAACACTTAGTGTTCCAGAACACTCCTGCTGTGGTCTGAATGTTTGTCCCACAGATAGGCTTCCATAACACTGCTATGAAGTAATTAAGGTTTCTCCATCACACAGAATTCCGGAACACTGCTACGTGGGTCTGAACGATTGTCCCTTATGCAGAACTCCAGAACACAGCTATGAGAGTCTGAATGATTGTCCCTCAAATAGGATTAAAGAACACTGCTGCTGGGGTCTGAATGTTTGTCCCACACATCGGATTCCAGAACACTGCTGCTGTATTCTCAGTGTTTTTCCCTCACATAGAATACCAGAACACTGCTACGATGGTCTGAATGTTTGTCCGTAACATAGGATTCCAGAACAATCCCGCTGTTGTTTGAATGTTTGAACCCCACATAGGATTCCAGAACAATGCTGCTGGGGTCTGAATGTTTGTCCCTCACATAAGACTCCAGAACAATGCTACGATTGTCTGAATGTTTGTCCCTCACATAGGATTCCTGAACAGTGCTACTAGGGTCTGAATGTTTGTCCCTCAGATAGGATTCCAAAACACTACTGATGTGTTCTGGGTGATTGTCCCCCACATAGGGTTCCAGAACAACCCTGCTGTCGTCTGAATATCTGTCCCTCAAATAGGGTTACAGAACACTGCTAGGAGGGTCTGAATGTTTGTTCCTCACAGGGGATTCCAGAACTCTCCTGCCATCATCTGAATAATAGTACCTCACACAGGATTGCAGAACACTGCTACGAGGGTCTGAATGTTTGCCCCTCACACAAAATTCCAGAACACTGCTTCGAGGGTCTGAATGATGGTGCCTCACATAGGATTCCAGAACACTGCTGCTGGGTTCTGAATGTTTGTCCCTCACAAAGGATTGCAGGACAATGCTGCTGGGGACTGAATGTTTGCCCCAATATAGGATTCCACAACTCTACTGCTCTGGTCTAAATGTATGTCCGTCACATCAGATTCCAGAACAATACTGCTGGTTTCTCAGTGTTTCTCCATCACATAGAATTCCAGATCACCGCGAGGAGTCTCTGAATGTTTGTCCATAACATTGGATTCCAGAACACTGCTGCTGGGTTCCGAATGTTTGTCCCTCACCGAGGATTCCAGAACACTGCTACGATTGTCTGAATGTTTGTCTCTCATATAAGATTCCAGAACACTCCTAAGAGGGTCTGAATGTGTGTCCCTCACATAGATTTCCAGGACACTACTACTATTGTCTGAATATTTGTCCCACACTTAGGATTCCAGAACACTGCTACGAGGGTCTGAATGATTGTATCTCATACAGAATTCCAGAACACTGCTACGAGGATCTGAATGATTGTCCCTCACATAGGATTCGAGAACACTGTGACGAGGTGCTGAATGTTTGTCTCTCACATAGGATCCCAGAACACTGCTGCTGGGGTCTATATGTGTGTCCGTCACATAGGATTCCAAAACCCTGCTACTGTGTTCTGGCTGTTTCTCCCTGACATAGAATTCCAGAACACTGCGACGAGGTTCTGAATGTTTGTCCGTAACATAGGATTCCAGAAAACTCCCCCCCGTGATTTATATGTTTGTCCCTCACATTGGATTCCAGAACACTGCTGCTGGGTTCCGAATGTTTGTCCTTCACGGAGGACTCCAGAACACTGCTACAATTGTCTGAATGTTTGTCCCTCACATAAGATTCCAGAACACTGCTGCTGTGGTCTGCATGTATGTTCATCACATAGGATTCCAGAAAACTGCTGCTGGGCTCTGAATGTTTCTCTCTCAAATAGAATTCCAGAACACTGCCACAAGGTTCTGAATGTGTGTCCATAACATAGGATTCCAGAACACTTCCACTGTTGTTCGAAGGTTTGTCGATCACATAGGATTCCAGAACACTGCTACAATTGTCTGCATGTTTGTCCCTCACATAGGATTCCAGGACACTACTACGAGGGTCTCAAAGTTTGTCCCTCACATAGGATTCCACAACACTCCTGCTGTGTTCTGAGTGTTTGCTCCTCACATAGGATTCCAGAACAATCCTTCTGTGTTCTGAATATTTGTCTCTCTCTTAGGATTCCAGAACACTGCTTCGATTGTCTGAATGTTTGTCCCTCCCACAGGATTCCAATACACTGCTATGATGGTCTGTATGTTTTTCCCTCACGTAGGATTCCAGAACACTGCTGCTGGGGTCTAAATGTTTGTTCATCACATAGGATTCCAGAACACAGCTATGAGAGTGGAAATGCTTGTACCTCACATGAGATTCCAGAACACTCCTGCTGTGGTCTTAAAGCAAGTCCCTCACATAGATTCCAGAACATTCCTACAAGGGTCTGAATGTTTGTCACTAACATAGGATTTCAGAACACCGCTGCTGGGGTCTAAATGTTTGTCCGTCACATAGAATTCCAGAACACTGCTATGAAGGTCTGAACGTTTGTTCCTCACTGGGGATTCCAGAACAATCCTGCTGTGGTCTGAATGTTTGTCCTTCACACAGGATTCCAGAACACTGCTACGAGCATACGAATGATTGTCTGCAACATAGTATTCCAAAACACTGTTACGAGTGTCTGAATGTTTGTCCCTCACATAGTATTCCAGAACACTGCTAAGATTGTCTGAATGTTTGTCACTCACGTAGGATTCCAGAACCCTGCTATGAGTGTCAGAATGTTTGTCCCTCACATAGGATTCCAAAACACGCCTGCTGTGCTCTGAGTGTCAGTCCCTCATGTAGGATTCCAGAACAATCCTGCTGTGTTCTGAATGGTTGCCCCTCACATATAGTTACAGAACACTGCTGCTCGGTTCTGAGTGTTTGTCCATCACATGGGATTCCAGAACACAGCTGTGAGGGTCTGATTGTTTTTCCCTTACAAAGGATTGCAGAACACTGCTGCTGGAGTCTAAAAGTTTCTCCGTCACACACTATTCCAGAGCACTCCTATGAGGGTTTGAATGTTTGTCCCTCATTTAGGATTCCACAACACTTCTGCTGGGGTGTGAATGTTTGTCCCTCACACAAAATTGTAGAACACTGCTATGACGATCTGAAAGATTGTCCCTCATTTAGGATTCCAGAACACTCCTGCTGTTTTCTGAGTGTTTGTCCCTCATTTAGGATTCCAGAACACTCCTGCTGTTTTCTGAGTGTTTGTCCCTCACATAGGATTCCAAAACTATCCTCCTGTCGTCGGAATATTTATCTCTCACATAGGGTTTCAGAACACTGCTGCAGGGTTCTGAGTGTTTGTCCCTCACATAGGATTCCAGAACACTGCTGCTGGGGTCTAGATTTTTGTCCGTCACACCGGATTCCAGAACCCTCCTATGAGGGTCTGAATGTCTGTTCCTCACAGGGGATTCTGGAACACTCCTGCTGTGGTCTCAATGTTTTTCCCTCACACAGGACTACAGAACACTGCTACGGGCATCAGAATGTTTGTCCCTCACACAGAATTCCAGAACACTGGTACGAGTGTCTGAATGACTTTCCTTCACATAGGATTCCAGAACACTGTTGCTGGGGTCGTAATGTTTGTCTCTCACATAGGATTCTAGAATAGAGCTGCTGGGGTCTACAGGTATGTCCGTCGCATAGGATTCCAGAACACTGATGTTGGGTTCTGAGTGTTTCTCCCTCACATAGAATTCCAGAACACCGCTACGAGGGTCAGAATGTTTGTCCATAACATAGGATTCCTGAACAATCCCGCTGTTGTTTGAATGTTTGTCCCTCACATAGGATTCCGGAACACTGCTACAATTGTCTGAATGTTTGTCCCTCACATAATATTCCAGAACAATGCTACGACTGTCTGAACGTTTGTTCCTCACAGGGGATTACAGAACACTGCTACGATTGTCTGAATGCTTGTCCCTCACATAGGATTCCAGAACAATGCTATGATTGTCTGAATGTTTGTCCATCACATACCATTCCAGAACACTGCTATGAAGGTCTGAATGTTTGTCCCTCACATGGGATTCCAGAACACTGCTACGATTGTCTGAATGCTTGTCCCTCACATAGGATTCCAGAACAATCCTGCTGTTGTCTGAATGTTTGTCCCTCACGTTGGATTCCAGAACACTGCTACCAGTGTCTGAATGTTTGTCCCTCACACGGGATTCCAGAACACTGCAATGACAGCTTGAATATTTGTCCCTCACACAGAATTCCAGAGCACTGCTATGGGGTTCTGAATGATTGTCCAACACATAGGATTACAGAACACTGTTGTTGGGGTCTGAATGTTTGTCCCTCACACAGGATTCCAGAACACTGCTATGAGGGTCGGAATGATTTTCCCTCACAGAGGATTTGAGAACACTCCTGCTGTGTTCTGAATGTTTGTCCCTCACATAGGATTTCAGAAAATTGCTATGAGGTTCTGAATGTTTTACCCTCACACAGAATTCCAGAACACTGCTACGAGAGTCTGAATGATTGTCCCTCACATAAGATTCCATAACACTGCTGCAGGCTTCTGAATGTTTGTCCCTCACATAGGATTCCAGAACCCCCCTGCAGGGGTCTGCATGTATGTCCGTCGCATAGGTTTCCAGAACACTGCTGCTGTGTTCTGAATGTTTCTACCTCACATAGAATTCCAGAACACTGCCACGATGGTCTGAATATTTGTCCGTAACACAGGATTTCAGAACACTCCCGCTGTTATTTGAATGTTTATCCCTCACATTAGATTCCAGAACACTGCTTCGAGGATCTGAATGTTTGTCCCTCACATAGGATTCCAGAACACTGCTACGAGGGTCTCAATGTTTTTCCTTCACATAGGATTCCAACACACTCCTGCTGTGTTCTGAGTGTTTGTCCCTCTCATAGGATTCGAAGGCAATCTTTCTGTGGTATGAATGTTTTTCCCTCACATAGGGTTCCAGAACAATGCTGCTGGGTTCGGAGTGTTTGTCTCTCACTTAGGATTCCAGAACACTGCTACCAGTGTCTGAATGCTTGTCCCTCACATAGGATTCCGGAACATTTCTGCTGGGTTCTGAATGTTTGTCCCTCTCAAAGGATTCCAGAACTCTGGTACAAGTTTCTGAATGTCTGTCTCTCATATGTGATTCCATAACACTGCTTCAGTTGTCTAAATGTTTGTCCGTCATATAGGTTTCCAGAACACTGCTAGGAGGATCTGAGTGTTTATTTCTCACAGGGAATTCCAGAAGACTCCTGCTGTTGTCTGAATGATTGTCTCTTACACAGGATTCCAGAAGACTGCAACGAGGGTCTGAATGTTTGAGCCTCATGTAGGATTCCAGAACAATGGTGCTGAGGTCTGAATCTTTGTCCCTGACATAGTGATTAAGAAAACTGCTAAGAGGGTCTGAATGTTTATCCCTCATGTAGGATTCCAGAACTCTGCTCCTGGGGTCTGAAAGTTTGTCTCTCACATAGGATTCCAGGACACTGCTGCTGGGGTGTACGTGTATCTCCGTCATATAGGATTCCAGAACACTGCTGCTGGATTCTGAGTGTTTCTCCATCACATAGAATTCCAGAACACTGCCACGAGGGTCTGAGTGTTTGTCCATAACTTAGGATTCCAGAACACTCTCGCTGTTGTTTGAATGTTTGTCCCTCACATAGGATTCCAGAACACTGCTGCTGTGGTCTGAATGTTTGCCCCTCACATAGGATTCCAGAACACTGCTACTATTGTCTGAATGTTTGTCTCCTACATAGGATTCCAGAACAATGCTGCTGGATTCTATATGTTTGTTCGTCACATAGGATTGCAGAACACCCCTACGACAGTCTGAATGTTTGTCCCTCACAGGGGATTCCAGAACACTCCTGCTGTAGTCTGAGTGTTTGTCCCTCACATGGGTTTTCCAGAACACTCCTGCTGAGGTCTGAATGATTGTCCCTCACATAAGATTCCAGAAAACTGCTAAGAGGGTCTGAATGTCCCTCACATAGGATTTCAGAACACTGCTGCTGTGGTCTAAATCTTTGTCCGTCACATAGGATTCCAGAACACTGCCACGAGGGTCTGAATGTTTTTCCCACAGAGGGGATTCCAGAACGGTGTGGTCTGAATGTTTGTCCCTCATACAGGGTTCCCGAACACCGCTACGAGGGAATGAATGCTTGTCCCTCACAAAGGATTCCAGAAAACTGCTACGATTGTCTGAGTGTTTGCCCCTCACATAGGATTCCGGAACACAGCTATGAGGGTTTGATTGTTTGGCCCTCATGTAGGATTCCAAAACACACTTACGGTTTTCAGAGTGTTTCTCCCTCACATAGGATTGCAGAACAATCCTGCCGTGTTCTTAATGTTTGTCCCTCATACAGAGTTCCAGAACACTGCTGCTCGGTTCTGAATGTTTGTCCCTCACATAGGATTCCAGAACACCGCTGCTGGTGTCTACATGTATGTCCCCCCCACAGGATTCCAGAACACAGCTGATAGGTTCTACTTGTTTCTCCCTCACATAGAATTTCAGAACACTGCAACGAGGGTCTGAATGTTGGTCCGTAACATAGGATTCCAGAAGATTCCCTCTGTTGTTTGAATGTTTGTCCCTCAAATAGGATTGCAGAACACTTCTGCTGTGGTCTAAAAATTTGTACCTCACAGAGGATTCCTGAATAGTACTAAGATTGTCTCAGTGTTTGTCCCTCACATAGAATTCAAAGCATTCCGACGAGGGCCTGAATGTGTGTCCCTCACATTGGATTACAGAACACTGCTACTATTGTCTGAATGTTTATCCCACACATTGGATTCCAGAACACTGCTTCGAGGGTCTGAATGTTTGTCCCTCACATAGGATTCCAGAACATTGCTGCTGGGGTCTAAATGTTTGTCTCTCACTTAGGATTCCAGAACACTGCTACAGAGGTCTGAATGTTGGGTCCTCACAGGGGATTCCAGAACACTCCTGCTGTGGTCTGAATGTCAATCACATGGGATTCCAGAACACTGCTACGAGGGTCTGAATGTTTGTCCCTCACATAGGATTCCAAAACACTCCTGCAGTATTCTGAGAGTTTGTTCCTCACATAGAATTCCAGAGCATACCAGATCTGGTCTGAATCCTTATCCCTTACATAATTTTCCAGAACACCGCTGCTTGGTTCTGAGAGTTTGTCTCTCAGATAGGATACCAGAACACTGCTACGAGGGTCTCAATATTTGTCCCTCACATTGCATTCCAGAATACTGCTGCTGGCGTCTAAATGTTTGTCAGTCACATAAGATTTCAGAACACTGTTAGGGGAGTCTGAATGTTTGTTCCTCACAGGAGATTCCAGAACACTCCTGCTGTGGTCTGAATGTTTCTCTCTAACATAGGATTCCAGAACACTGCTATGGGGGTCTGAATGTTTGTCCCTCACGCAGAAATCCAGGACACTGCTATGAGGATCTGAATGTTTGTCCCTTACATAGGATTCCAAAACACTCCTGCTGTTTTCTGAGTGTATGTTACTCACATAGGAGTCCAGAACAATCCTGCTGTTGTCTGAATGTTTGTCCCTCACATAGGGTTCCTGAATGCTGCTGCTGGTTTCTGAGTGTTTGTCCCTCTTATAGGATTCCAGAACAATTCGACGAAGGTCTGAATGTTTGTCCCTCACATAGGATTCTAGAACACTGCTGCTGGGGTCTACAAGTACATCCATCATATAGGATTCCAGAAAACTGCTGCTGGGTTCTCAGTGTTCCTCCCTCACATACAATTTCAGAACACTGCGATGAGCATCTGAATGTTTGTCCATAACATAGGATTCCAGAACACTCCCGCTGTTGATTGAATGTTTTTCCCTCACAGAAGATTCCAGAACACTTGTGCTGGCTTCTGAATGTTTGTCCCTCACATAGGATTCCAAAACACTGCTACAATTGTCTGAATGTGTGTCCCTCACATACGATTCCAGAACACTGTTACGAGTGTCTGAATATTTGTCCTTAACGTAGGATTACAGAACTCTGTTATAATTGTCGGAAAGTTTGTCCCTCACATAGGATTCCAGAACACTTCTATGAGGGTCTGAATGTTTGTCCCTCACATAAAATGGCAAAACACTGAAGCTGTGTTCCGAGTATTTGTCCCTCACATAGGGACCCAGAAAAATGCTGCTGGGTTCTTAGTGTTTGTCCCTCACATAGGATTCCAGAACACTGCTACTAGTGTCTGAATGTTTGTCCCTCACGTAGCACTCCAGAACACTGCTGCTGGGGTCTCAATGTTTGTCAGTCACATAGGATTCCAGAACACTGCTACGATAGCCTGAATGTTTGTTCTTCATAGGGGATTCCAGAATACTCCTGTTGTGATCTGAATATTTGTCCCTCACACTGGACTCCAGAACACTGCTACGAGGGTCTGAATGATTGTCCCTCAAGCAATATTCCAGAACACTGCTGCTGGGGTCTGAATGATTGTTCCTCACGCAGCATTCCACAGCACTGCTTCTGGGGTCTACATGTATGTCCACTACATAGGATTCCAGAACACTGCAGCTGGGTTCTGAGTGTTTCTCCCTCACAGAGAATTCTAGAACACTGTGACGAGAACCTGAATGTTTGTCTGTAACATAGGATTCCAGAACACTCCCGCTGTTGTTTGAATGTTTGTCCCTCACATAGGATTCCAGAACACTGCTGCTTGGATCAGAAAGTTTGTCCCTTACACAGGATTCCAGAACACTGCTACGATTGTCTGAATATTTCTCCCTCACATAAGATTCCAGAACACTGTTGCTGGGGTTTAAATGTTTGTCTGACACATAGGATTCCAGAACACTGCTACGGGGTTCTGAAAGTTTGTTCCTCACAGGTGATTCCAGAACACTCCTTTTGTGGTCTGAATGTTGGCCCTGAAGCAGAATTCCAGAACAGTGCTGTGTGGGTCTGAATGATTGTCCCTTACATCGATGCCAGAACACTGCTGCAGGGGTCTGAATGTTTGTCCCTCACATAGGATTCCAGAAAACTTCTAAGAGGGTCTGAATGCTTGTCCCTCACACAGAATTCCAGAGCACTGCTATGAGGGTCTGAATGATTGCAAATCACATAGGATTCCAGAACACTGCTGCGGGGGTCTGAACATTTGTCAATCACATAGGATTCCAGAACACTGCTGCTGGGGTCTACATGCATGTCCATCACATAGGTTTCCAGAACACTGCTGCAGGGTCTAAATGTTAGTCCGTCACATAGGATTCCAGAACAATGCTACGAGGGTCTGAATGTTTGTCCGAAACATAGAATTCCATAATTCTCCCGCCGTTGTTTGAATGTTTGTCCCACACATAGTATTCGAAAACACTACATCTGGGGTCCGAATGTTTGTCCCTCACATAGGATTCCAGAACATCCCTGTTGTGGTCTGAATGTTCGTCCTCACACAGAATTGCAGAACACTGATACGAGTGTCTGAGTGATTGTCCCTCACGTCGGATTCCAGAACACTGCTGCTGGGGTCTGAATTTTCTCCCTCACATAGAATTCTGAAGGGGTGGGTTGCCCCTCCACACCTGTGGGTTTTTCTTGTTAGGTGGAATGAGAGACATGGAAAAGAAAAAGACACAGAGACAAAATATAGAGAAAGAAATAAGGGGACCCAGGGAACCAGCGTTCAGCATATGGAGGATCCCGCCAGCCTCTGAGTTCCCTTAGTATTTATTGATCATTTGTGGGTGTTTCTCCGAGAGGGTGATGTGTCAGGGTCACAAGACAATAGTGGGGATAGGGTCAGCAGACAAACACGTGAACAAAGGTCTTTGCATCATAGACAAGGTAAAGAATCAAGTGCTGTGCTTTTAGATATGCATACACATAAACATCTCAATGCTTTACAAAGCAGTATTGCTGCCCGCATGTCCCACCTCCAGCCCTAAGGCGTTTTTTCCCTATCTCAGTAGATGGGACGTACAATCGGGTTTTATACCGAGACATTCCATTGCCCATGGACGGGCAGGAGACAGATGCCTTCCTCTTGTCTCAACTGCAAGAGACATGCCTTCCTCTTATACTAATCCTCCTCAGCACAGACCATTTACGGTTGTCGGGCTGGGGGACGGTCAGGTCTTTCCCTTCCCATAAGGCCATATTTCAGACTATCCCATGGGGATATACCTTGGACAATATCTGGCTTTCCTAAGCAGAGGTCCCTGCGGCCTTCAGCAGTTTTTGTGTCCCTGGGTACTTGAGATTAGGGAGTAGTGATGACTCTTAAGGAGCATGCTGCCTTCAAGCAACTGTTTAACAAAGCACATCTTGCACAATACTTAATCCATTTAACCCTGAGTTTGACACAGCACATATTTCAGAGAGCACGGGGTTGGGGGTAAGGTCATAGATTAACAGAATCTCAAGGCAGAATAATTTTTCTTAGTACAGAACAAAATGGAGTCTCCTATGTCTACTTCTTTCTACACAGACACAGTAACAATCTGATCTCTCTTGCTTTTCCCCACATTTCCCCCTTTTCTTTTCGACAAAACCGCCATCGTCATCATGGCCCGTTCTCGATGGTCTCTGTCTCTTCCGAGCTGTTGGGTACACCTGCAGACCAACAACAGACAAAACAGGCACACAAGGATTAATATGAGATTTACAATCGTAGTACTTCTGATGGTCTTAACCCAAGTGACAGGGTTAAGATTTGCGAGGCCATCAGCAACTCCTGCAATTGCCTCAGTTCCTGGCACCAAATTTAAATGGGCTTTGATGTTTTGAAAATTTGTTCTTTTAACTTGGAAATGTCTAAAGTGAGATTATCTTCTCTTCCCTGTAGATGACGTCTAACCATGTCCCAGTGATGCTCAGACTCATTATAAATTTGGGGTGTAATACAAAAATCTGATGTATTCCAGTCACACTGTAACTGGAAACGATGTTCTAAGCTCATGAGTCTGTCTCCCATCCAAATGACAGTTTGTCTAAGATCATTAATTTGATTTGCCAATTTTTGATCAATACCAGATTGTGAATTCCACAATCATGTAGAATTTTTTTGTCAATCATTAACAAATTTTACTGACTGAACAGAAGAGTGCAATGCAACTCCTGCCACAGCAGCCATAGCTGTGACTGCAATTAATCCCATAATCACTGCAATTAAAGTAAAAATGAATCTTTTGGATCTATTTAAAACGCCTTTTAATACTTCAGTCAAAATATGGATGGATGGCGAGGCCTCCCATGGTCGGTCCATGGACACAGGGATCCACACGCCTTCTCTTGCTCTCACCAGCAGAATACGGTGTTGCCAATTAAAAGTTGAATCAATGCAAGTAAACAATCTACAATTTTCACAGGTTTTAGTTTGAGAGTCTGGTTTAATAACTATATTTCCTACAACTAGCATATAAGGGGGCTTTACACAACTTCGTAAAGGAACCGTTAGACTGGAATTTAGGTAGATAGTATAAAATGGCTTACGATCTCTTGTTTCTAAAGTTTGATTTCCAGACCAAATCCTAATGTGGTATGAGGCTGCAGTAAGCCTCCACAATTCTGGATGTTCAGGACCAGAAACAGGACTTATTATTTTTGGTCTTGGGGTAGAGATTCCTTTTTCTCCCCATACCCAAGGGTAGAAAGACTGTAATTTTTTATGCTTATGTTTGTCTAGACTTTCTGTTAAGTCGCTATCAACAGCTGGACTCACTTGTGCACTTGGACATGACTGAGTTTGTCCTGAGCAATTGTGGTAGAATTGACCTCGAGGTGCCCAATCTATAACAGTTCGGAATTCATTGTTTTGTAATATCACCGCACTATTGGCCACACATTCTTCCCAAACTAAAACTTCTGTATTTTTTGATCCTTTGGGAATTTCCTTGGGGCAAGGTTTCCCTTTAGGTCTAAATTTTAATGATCTTTGATAAGAAAAGTCTTGTAAATAATTTACCCGTGGCCTGAGTGACATCCCGCTTACCATGTGATAAGTGAGTCTACTGTTAGGACCGGCAGTAGGTACTTCTACCAACCAATTTTGGAATGCAGGCATTAAGCATCCTGGTGCTCTTCCTAGGCAAATAGGAGGATAACGATACCCAATGGAAATATTTATCATCATCCCTTCTTCCTCAGGTTTGGCAGGGCAGTGATCATCTGTGGGGCCAGGTACCCATACACTATCCTTAACATTTAATTCTATAGGATTATCCATCCATGTGAGTGGTGTTACCGTCTCCGTGGAGGCGCTTTTCTTTGCATCTCTGATGGGTTCATTGTAGAACTTCAAATGTCTAGTAGGTATCCAAACAGGAAGCTGATTTTCTCCTGGTGAAACACAAGCAAAACCTCTCCCCCACGTTATTACTTTCCCTATTTCCCATGTCTTATTTTTATTATCTTTCCACCAAATCAGTTTTCCTTCATGTGGGCTGTTCTTTTTACCAGTAAGATGTTGTTCTGCAGAAGTAGTAGTCTGATTTCTATAAATGTTTAAAAAATTTAAAGTATAGAGTGCTAGATTAAGTTGCATCTGAGGAGTGGTACACTCCTTACTGTCTCCCCCTTCTTTTTGTTTAACTAATTGAGTTTTGAGTGTTCTATTAGTTCTTTAAACTATGGCCTGTCCTTGGGAATTATAAGGAATTCCTGTTGTATGTGAAATTTTCCATTGACTTGAGAATTTTTGGAAAGCTTTACTACAATATCCTGGTCCATTGTCAGTTTTGATTTTTTCTGGAACTCCCATTACAGTACAACAAGAAAATAAATGTTTTTTAACACGGGAAGTACTTTCTCCTGTTTGGCAACTTGCCCATATGAAATGTGAATAAGTTTTAACTGTTACATGAACATATGATAATCTTCCAAATGAAGGTACATGTGTGACATCCATTTGCCATAATGCATTAGGACACTGACCGCTGGGATTAACTCCTGCCTCTTGAGTGGGCAGGTGTAAGACTTGACACTGGGTGCAATGTTGTACAATATCTTTTGCCTGTTTCCATGTGACATCAAATTTGTTTTTTAATCCTGCTGCATTTACATGAGTCAAAGCATGAAGTTCTTGTGCTTTTATGAATGCAGATGATACCAGTAAGTCAGCTTGTTCATTTGCTTTAGTCAAAGGCCCTGGTAAATTAGTGTGTGCTCGAATATGAGTAATATAAAATGGGAAATTTCTTTTTCTTACAGTTTGTTGTAATAAACTGAATATCTGGTTTAACTGATCGTCCATGCTATATTTAATTAGAGCTGTCTCAACATCCCTTGTAGCCTGTACTACATATGCAGAATCTGATATAATATTGATAGGTTGATCAAAATCTTGGAACACTGTAATGACTGCAACCAACTCTGCTCTTTGAGCCGATTGAAATGGAGCTGTGATTACTCTTTCTTTTGGCCCTGTGTAAGCTGCTTTTCCATTGCTGGAACCATCAGTAAATAGTGTTAGAGCATTTTCTAAAGGTTCACATCTGGTAATTTTAGGTAGAATCCAAGTAGTTAATTTTAAAAAATTGGAAGATTTTTGTTTTCGGGTAATGATAATAAACAATTTCCACAAAATTAGCAAGATCAATTTGCCATGCACCAGAATTGATAAAGGCTTGTCTAATTTGTTTCTTGGTTAAAGGGACAACTATTTTGTCTGGGTCATTTCCACATAATTTTATTATTCGTAATCTTGTCTGACCAATTAATGTAGCTATATGATCCAAATACAATTTAAACGTCTTAACTGTACTGTGAGGAAGGAATGACCACTCCACAAGATCAGTATTTTGAACAATGATGCCTGTTGGAGAATGTGCAGTAGCAAAAATCAAAAGTTGGAGTGGGGCTAAGGGATCTATTCTATTTATTTGCACTGACTGAAATTTTTCTTCCACTAATTTAATTTCTTTTGTTGCCTCTGGGGTTAACATTCTTTTACTATTTAAATCTGAGTCTCCTCTTAAGATAGAGAACAAATTTGACATGGCATAAGTAGGAATGCCTAGAGTTGGCCGAATCCAATTAATATCTCCTAGCAATTTTTCAAAATCATTTAGTGTTTTTAATGTGTCTTTTCTTATTTCTATTTTTTGTGGCTTAATTTTTCTATTTTCTATCTGCATCCCTAAATAATGAAAAGGAGTAGAGGTTTGGATATTATCAGATGCTATTGCCAGTCCTGCGTTGGCAACCTCTGCTTGTAGAAATGTATAACAGTCAATTAATTTATCTCTTGTTTCTGCAGCACATAAAATATCATCAAAATAATGAATGATATAACAGTCTGAAAACTTGTCTCTAACTGGTTGAAGAGCTCGACCTACAAAAGTCTGACAAATAGTTGGACTATTAAGCATTCCCTGAGGTAACACTTTCCACTGAAACCTGGTGGCTTGTTCTTTATTATTTATGGCTGGTATAGTAAAGGCAAATTTTTCACAATCCTGCTCTGCCAGAGGGATGGTAAAAAAGCAATCCTTTAGATCAATTATAATTAAAGGCCAGTCTTTTGGGATCATGGCCGGAGAGGGCAACCAGGGTTGGAGAGGCCCCATGGGTTGAATTACGGCGTTTATGGCCCTTAAGTCAGTTAACATACGCCATTTGCCAGATTTCTTCTGAATTACAAACACAGGAGAATTCCAAGGCGAGAATGAAGGCTCAATATGTCCCTTTCCTAACTGTTCATTTGCTAATAAATGTAAAGCCTCCAGTTTTTGTTTTGGTAGCAGCCACTGATTCACCCACACCGGTTTTTCTCTTTTCCAAGTTAATGCTATGGGTTTAGGAGGCTCTACAGTGGCCGCCCCTAAGAAGGATACCCTAATTCCTTCTCTTTCTTGATTTATTTTAGCCTCAACTGGAACTTTAATGCCATCTTCATTTTATTCCTAGTCCCTTTCCTGGTATACATCCCATCTTGGTCATGATTTTTTGACTCGTGGGGCTATATAATGGAGTGGGCATAGTGATTTCCGCACCCCATTGTTGTAATAAATCTCGACCCCACAGATTAAGAGGAATTGAAGTAATCATTGGCTGAACAGTACTTTCTTGATTATCTGGCCCTAAACAATGTAAAATCTCAGTACTTTGATACACTTCTGAGGCTGTGCCTACGCCGACAAGTCCTGTAACAGCCTTTTGCTTAGGCCAATTTTTTGGCCAGTGATTTGCTTTAGCAATGATAGAGACATCTGCTCCAGTGTCTACTAACCCTTCAAACTGTTTTCCTTGAATAATGGCCTTACACACAGGTCTGTTTTCTGAGACCTGACTTGCCCAATATGCAGCCTTTCCTGTCAGATCAGTGCTTCCAAACACTCCTGTTCTTTTTATTTCACTATTTCCAACCTTAATATAAGGCAGGAGTCATAATTGAGCAATCCTGTATCCTGGACTGGCATTCCAAGGAATTGAAGAGCTAATAACCAATTGAATTTCGCCTTTATAATCTGAATCAACCACACCAGTATGAATTTGAACTCCCTTTAGATTTAGACTTGATCTTCCCAAGATTAGTCCTACAGTCCCCTCAGGCAGTGGGCCACATACCCCTGTGGGGATTTTTTGTTTGGGGGTTCCCCTGGAAGCAGAGAGACTGCTTGTATAGTACATAAATCTACTTCTGCACTGCAGCTTGTGGCAGGGGAAAATTGTTGTATTGTGGTAACTGGGTATATGTCCCTCACGTACGAATCCAGAACACTGCCATGTGGGTCTAATATTTGGCCCTCACATAGGATTCCAGAACGCTGCTACGAGGGTCTGAAAGTTTGTCCCGCACATAGGACTCCAGAACACTTCTGCTGTTTTCTGAATGTTTCTCCCTCACATAGGATTCTAGAACAATGCTACGAGGGTCTGAATGTTTGTCCCACATGTTGGATTCCAGAACACCTTAGCTGTGGTGTGAATGATTGTCCCTGACATACGATTCCAGAACATTGCTGCAGGGTTCTGTGTGTTTCTCCCTCACATAAGATTCCAGAACACTGCTACGAGGGGATGAATGACTGAACCTCACATAGGATTCCAGAACACTCGTGCTATTGTCTGAGGGTTTGTCCCTCATATAGTATTCCCGAACACAACTGCTGTGGTCTAAATGTTTGTTCCTCGCATAGGATTTCAGAACACTCCTGCTGTCATCTGAATATTTGTACTTCACATAGGATTCCAGAACACTCCTCCTGTTGGGTTCTGAATGTTTTTCCCTCATGTAGGATTCCAGAACACAGATACATGGGTCGAAATGATTCTCCCTCACATAGGATTCGAGAACACTGCTTTGAGTTTCTGAATATTTGTCCCGCACATAACATTCCAGCACACTTCTGCTGTGGTATAAATGTTTGTTCCTCACATTAGATTTCAGAGGACTCCTACTGTCGTCTGAATGTTTGTGACTCACTTAGGATTCCAGAGCACCCTTGTTGTGGAGTGAATGTTTGTCCCTCACTTAGGATTCCAGAACACTGCTCTTGGGTTCTCAGTGTTTGTCCCACATGTAGGATTCCAGAACACTGCTACGTGGGTCTAAAGGTTTGTGCCTCACATAGGATTCCAGAATACTGCTACGAGGATCTGAATGTTTGTCCCCCACATAGGATTCCACAACACTCCTGCTGTGGTCTAAATGTTTGTTCCTCACACGGGTTTCAGATCACTCCTGCTGTGGTCTAAAAGTTTGTTCCTCACATATTATTTGAGATCACTGCTGCTGTCGTCTGAATTTTTGTCCCTCACATAGGATTCCACAACACTACTGCTGTGGACTGAATGTATGTCCCTCTCTTAGGATTCCAGAACACTGCTGTTTTGAGTGTTTGTCCCTCACGTAGGATTCCAGAACACTGTTACGTGGGTCTGAATGTTCTTCCCTCAGATAGGATTCCAGAACACTGCTACGAAGTTGTGAATGTTTGTCTTGCACATAGGATTCCAGAACACTCCTGCTGTGTTCTAAATGTTTGTTCCTCACAAAGGATTTCGGAACAATCTTGCTGTCGTCTGAATGTTTGTCCCTCACATAGAATTCCAGAGCACTCCAGCTGTGATCTAAATGTTTGTTTCTCAGGTAGGATTTCAGAACACCCCTGCTGTCTTCAGAAGGTTTGTCCCTCACATGGGATTCCAAAACACTCCTGCTGTGGTCTGAAAGTTTGTTCCTCACTTAGGATTCCAGAACACTGCTGTTGTGTTCTGAGTCTTTGTCCTTCTTGTACGATTCCAGAACACAGCCACGTGGGTCTGAATGTTTGTCCTTCACATATGATTCCAGACGCTGCTACGAGGGACGAAATATTTGTACCACACATAGGACTCCAGAACACTCCTGCTGTGTTCTGAATGTTTGTCCCTCACAAAGGATTCCAGAATACTGCTGCGAGGGTCTGAATGTTTGTCCCGCACATAGGATTCCAGAACACTCCTGCAGTGGTCTAAATGTTTGTTCCTCACACAGAGTTTCAGAACAATCCTGCTGTCGTCTGAATTTATGTCCCTCACATAGGATTCCAGAACACTCCAGCTGTGTTCTAAATGCTTGTTCCTCACGTAGGATTACAGAACACTCCTGCTGTCTTCAGAATGTTAGTCCCTCACATAGGACTCCAGAACACTCCTGCTGTGGTCTGAATTTTTGTCCCTCGCTTAGGATTCCAGAACACTGTTGTTGGGTTCTGAGTGTTTGTCCCTCAGGTACGATTCAAGAACACTGCCACGTGGGTCTAAATGTTTGTCCCTCACATAGGATTCCAGACACAGCTACGAGGGTCTGAACTTTTATCCCGCACATAGGACTTCAGAACACTCCTTCTGTGTTCTGAATGTTTGTCTCTCACATAGGATTTCAGAACAATGCTACGATGGTCTGAATGTTTGTCCCACACGTAGGGTCCAGAACACCCCAGCTGTGGTCTGAATGACTGTCCCTGACGTGCAATTCCCAAACACTGCCGCTGGGTTCTGAGTGTTTCTCACTTAGATAGGATTCCAGAACACTGATATGAGGGTATCAATGACTGAACCTCACATAGGATTCCAGAACACTCCTGCAATTGTCTGAGTGTTTGTCCCTCACATAGGATTGCTGAACACTCCTGCTGTGGTCTAAATGTTTGTTCCTAACCTACAATTTTAGAACACTCCTGCTGTCATCTGAATGTTTGTCCCTCACATAAGATTCCACAAGAATGCTACGAGTGTCTGAATGTTTATCCCACACTTAGGATTTCAGAGCACCCCAGTATTGGTCTGAAAGATTGTCCCTCTCATAGGATTCCAGAACACTGCTGGTGGGTTCTGAGTGTTTCTCCCTCACATTGGATTCCAGAACACTGCTACGAGGTTCTGAATGATTGTACCTCACCTAGGATTCCAGAACACTGCTAGGAGGGTCTGAATGTTTGTCCCTCACATAGGATTCCAGAATATTGCTACGAGGGTCTGAAAGTTTTTCCTCACATAGGACTCCACAACACTCCTGCTTTGTTCTAAATGTCCCTCACATAGGATTCCAGAACAATTATCCGAGGGTCTGGACGTTTGCCCCACACGTAGGAATCCAGAACACCCCACCTGTGGTCTGAATGATTGTCCCTCACATAAGATTCCAGAACACTGTTGCTGGGTTCTGAATGTTTCTCCCTCACATAGGATTCCAGAACACTGCTACGAGGGTCTGAATGTACGTCACATAGGATTGCAGAACACTCTTGTCAATGTCTGAATGTTTATCCCTCACATAGGATTCCAGAAAACTCCTGCTGTGGTCTAAATGTTTGTTCCTCACTAAGGATTTCAGAACATTCCTGCTGTCGTCTGAATGTTTGTCCCTCACATAGGATACCACTACACTCCTGCTGTGGATTGAATGTTTCTCCCTCCTTTAGGGTTCCAGAAAACTGTTTTTGGGTTCTGAGTGTTTGTCCCTCACGTACGATTCAAGAACACTGCTAGGTGGGTCTAAATATTTGTCCCTCACATAGGATTCGAGAACCATGCTACGAGAGTCTGCATGTTTGTCCCGCACGTAGGACTCAACAACACTCCTGCTGTGTTCTGAATGTTTGTCCCTCACATAGGATTCCAGAACAATGCTACAAGTGTCTGAATGTTTGTCCCACGTGTAGGATTCCAGGACACCCCAGCTGTGGTCTGAATGACTGTCCCTGACATTCGATTCCAGAGCACTGCTACTGGGTTCTGAGTGTTTCTCCCTCAGATAAGATTCCAGAACACTGCTACGAGGGCATGAATGACTGAACCTCACGTAGGATTCCAGAACACTCCTGCTGTTGTCTGAGTGTTTGTCTCTCACATAGGATTCCTGAACACTCCTGCTGTGGTCGAAATGTTTGTTCCTCACTTATGATTTCAGAATACTCCTGCTGTCATCTGAATGTTTGTACCTCACGTAGGATTCCAGAGACATTGCTGTTGGGTTCTGACTGTGTGTCCCTCACGTAAGATTCAAGAACACAGCTATGTGGGTCTAAATGATTCTCCCTCGTATAGGATTCCAAAACACTGCTATGAGGGTCTGAATGTTTGTCCCACACATAAAATTCCAGAACACTCCTGCTGTGGTATAAATGTTTGTACCTCACATAGGATTTCAGAACATTCCTACTGTCGTCTGAATGTCTGTCCTTCACAGAGGATTGCAGAACACCCCTGCTGTGCACTGACTGTTTGTCCCTCACTCAGAATTCCAGAACACTGCAGTTGGGTCCTGATTATTTGTCCCTCACGTACAATTCCAGAACATTGCCACTTGGGTCTAAAAGTGTGTTACTCACATAGGAATCCAGAACACTGCTACCAGGGTCTGAATGTTTGTCCCTAACATAGGATTCCATATCACTCCTCCTGTGGTCTAACTGTTTGCTCCTTACATAGGATTTCAGAACCATTCTGCTGTCGTCTGAATGTTTGTCCGGCATATAGGATTCCAGAATTCTCCTGCAGTGGTCTAAATGTTTGTTCCTTACATAGGATTTCAGAACACTCCTGCTGTGGTGTAAATGCTTGTTCCTCACTTAGGATTTCAGAACACTCCTGCTGTCATCTGAATATTTGTCCCTCACATAGGATTCCAGAACGCTCCTGATGTGGTGTGAATGTTTGTCCCTCACATAGGATTCCAGATCATTCCTGCTGTGCTCATATCACACTGCTGCGTGGGTATAAATCTTTGTCCCTCAGATAGGATTCTAGAACACTGCTATGGGGTATGAATGTGTGTCCTGCACATAGGATTCCAGAACACTCCTGTTTTGGTCTGAATATTTGTCCCTCACTTAGGATTCCAGAACACTGCTGTTGGGTGCTGAATGTTTGTACCTCACGAAGGCTTCCAGAACACAGCTACATGGTTCTAATGTTTGTCCCTCACATAGGATTCCAGAACACTGCTACGAAGGTCTGAATGTTGCTCCCTCACATGGGATTCCAGAACACTCCTGCTGTGGTCTGTTTGTTCCTGACATAAGATTTCAGAATACTCCTGCTGTCTTCTGAATGTTTGTCCCTCACATAGGATTCCAGAACACTGCTAGGAGGGTCCGAATATTTGATCCTGAAATAAGATTCCAGAAAACTGCTGCTCGAGTCTGAGTGTTTGTCCCTCACATGGCATTCAAGAACACTGCTGCTGGGGTCTGAATGTCCCTCACATAGAATTCCAGAACACGGTTACAAGGGTCTGAATGTTTGTCCCTCACATAGGACTCCAGAACACTCCTGCTGTGGAGTGAATATTTGTCCCTCCCATAGGATTCCAGAACACTGCTCCTGGATTTTCAGTTTTATTCCCTCACAGAGGATTCCAGAACACCACTACGAGGGTATGAATGTTTTACCCTCACAGAGGATTATAGAACACTGCTGCTGGTGTCTAAATGTTTGTCCCTCACATAGGATTCCAGAACATTGTTAAGAGGGTATGAATCTTTGTCCCTGACATAGGATTCCAGAACACTCCTACTGTGGCCTGAATGTTTGTTCCTCACATAGGATTCCAGAACACCCCTGCTGTTGTCTGAATGTTTGACACTCACATAGGACTCCAGAACACTCTTGCTTTGGTTTCAAAGTTTGTCCCTCACATAGGATTTCACAACACTCCTGCAGTGTTCTGAAAATTTGTCCCTCACATAGGATTCCAGAACACTCCTGCTGTGTTCTGAATATTTGTCCCTCACATACGTCTCCATAACACTCATGCTGTGGTTATAATGTTTGTCCCTCAGATAGCATTCAAGAACACTGCTGCTGGAGTCTGAATGTTTGTCTCTAACATACAATTCCACAGCACTACTGCTCTGGTCTGAAGGTTTGTTCTTCACATAGGATTTCAGAACAGTGGTGATGGATTCTGAGCATTTGTCATTCACATAGGATTCCAGAACACTGCAAAGAGGGTCTGAATATTTGTCCCTCACTTAGGATTCCAGAATACTGCTGCTGGGTTCTGAGTGTTTGTCCCACACATAGGATTCCAGAACACTGCTACAAGGCTCTGAATGTTTGTCCATTAAATGATATTCCAGAGCACTGCTGCTGGGGTCTCAATGTTTGTTCCTCAGACAGCATTCCAGAACACTCCTGCTGTGGTCTGAATATTTGTCCCTCACATAGGATTCCATAACACTGCTGCTGTGGTCTGACTGTTTGTCCCTCACATAGGATTCCAGAACAATTCTGCTATGATCTGAATGTTTGTCCCTCACATAGCATTCCAGAAGACTGCTGCTGCGGACTGAATGTTTTTCCCTCACATAGGATTCCAGAACACTGCTCCTAGATTCTGAGATTTTTTTCCCTCAAATAGGATTCCAGAACACTGCTATGAGGGTATGAAAGATTTTCCCTCAAATAGGATTCCAGAACACTCCTGCTGTGTTCTGAATTTTTGTCCCTCACATACGTCTCCATAGCACTCCTGCTGTGGTTAGAATGTTTGTCCCTCAGATAGCATTCAAGAACACTGCTGCTGGAGTCTGAATGTTTGTCTCTAACATAAAATTCCACAGCACTACTGCTCTGGTCTGAAGGTTTGTCCTTCACATATGATTTCAGAACAGTGGTGCTGGATTCTGAGCGTTTGTCATTCACATAGGATTCCAGAACACTGCTAAGAGGGTCTGAATATTTGTCCCTCACTTAGGATTCCAGAATACTGCTGCTGGGTTCTGAGTGTTTGTCCCTCAAATAGGATTCCAGAACACTGCTGATGGGGTCCAAATGTCTGTCCCTCACATAGGATTTCAGAACACTCCTGCTGTGAGCTGAATGTTTGTCCATCACATAGGATTCCAGAACACTGCTGCTGAGGTCTCAATGTTTGTCCCTCAGAGAGCATTCCAGAACAATCTTGCCGTGGTCTGAATGTTTGTCCCTCATGTAGGGTTCTGTTACACTCCTGCTGTGGTCTAAATGTTTATCCCTCACATAGGACTCCAGAAATCTCCTGCTATGGTCTGAATGTTGGCCCCTCACATAGCAGTCCAGAACACTGCTGCTGTGGACTGAATGTTTGTCCCTCACATAGGATTCCAGAGCACTGCTCCTGGATTCTGAGTTTTTTTTCCCTCACATAGGATTCTAGAACACCCCTACGAGGATACGGATGCTTTTCCCTCACATAGGGTTCCAGAACACTGCTGCTGGGGTCTGAATGCTTGTTCTTCACATAGGATTCCAGAACACTCCTGCTGTTGTCTGAATGTTTGACACTCACATAGGACTCCAGAGCACTCCTGCTGTCGTTTGAATGTTTGTCCCTCACATAGGATTTCAGAATACTTCTACTGTGTTCTGAATATTTGTCCCTCAAATAGGATTCCAGAGAACTGCTACAAGGGTCTGAATATTTCTCCTTCACAAAGGATTCCAGAACACTCCTGCTGTGGTCTGAATGTTTGTCCCTCACATAGGATTTCAGAACACTCCTGCTGTGTTCTGAAAGTTTGTCCCTCACATAGGACTCCAGAACACTCCTGCTGTTGTCTGAAAGTTTCTCCCTCAGATAGCATTGAAGAACAATGCTGCTGGAGTCTGAATGTTTGCCCTTCACATAGGATTCCAGAACACTCTTGTGATGGTCTGAATGTCCCTCACATATGATTCCAGAAAACGCCTGCTGTGGTCTGAAGGTTTGTGCCTCACATAGGATTCCAGAACATTTCTGCTGTGGTCTGAATATCCCTGACATAGAATTCCAGAACACTGCTATGAGGGTCTGAATGCTTTTCTGTCTCATAACACTCCAGAACACTGCTTCTAGGGTCTGAATGTTGGTCCCTGACATAGGATTCCAGAACACTGCTACGAGGGTCTAAATGTTTGTTCCTCACATAGGATTCCAGAACACTCCTGCTGTTGTTTGTATGTTTGTCTGTCACATAGGATTCCAGAACACTGTGGCTGGGGTATGTATGTCCCTGATATGGGATGGAAGAACGCTGATACCAGGTTCTGAATGTTTGTCTGTCACACAGGATTCCAGAACACCACTATGAGGGTCTGAATGTCTCTCCCTCACAAAGGATTCCAGAAAACTGCTGCAAGGGTCTGAATGTTTGTCCCTCCCATAGGACTCCAGAACACAGCTGCGAGGGTCTAAATGTCTGTCCCTCACATAGGATCGCATAACACTGTTAGGAGGGTCAGGATGTTTGTCCTTCATGTAGCATTCCAGAACACTGCTGCCGTGGTCTGAAAGTTTCTCCCTCACATAGCATTCCAGAACACTGCTATGAGGGTCTGAATGTTTGTCCCACACCTAGGATTCCAGAACACCTCTGCTTCCATGCCGTGGTCTGAAAGTTTCTCCCTCGCATAGGATTCCAGAACACTGCTATGAGGGTCTGAATGTTTGTCCCACATCTAGGATTCCAGAACACCTCTGCTGGATTCTCAAAGTTTATCCCTCACATATGATTCCAGGACACTGCTACGAGGGTATGAATGCTTGTCCTTCACATAGGATTCCACAACACTGCTACGAGGGTCTGAGTGTTTCTCCCTCACATAGTATTCCAGCACACTTCTGCTGGTGTCTGAATGTTTGTACCTCACATCACATTCCAGAACACTGCTGCTGGGGTTTGAATGTCTGTCCCTCACATAGAATTCCAGAACACTGCTGGGAGGGTCTGAATGTATGTCTCTCCTATGGGATTCCAGAACACTGCTCCAAGGGTCTAAATATCTCTCCCTCACATAAAATTCCAGCACACGGCTACGAAGTTCTGAATGTTTGTCCCTCACATAGGATTCCAGAGCCCCCTTGCTGTGGTCTGAACGTTTGTCCCTCACATAGGATTTCAAAACACTGCTACGAAAGTCTGAATCTTTGTCCCTCACATGGGACTCCAGAACACTCCTACTGGGGTCTCAATGTTTGTCCCTCACATAGGATTCCTGAACACTGCTACAAGGGTCTGAACGTTTGTCCTTCACAAAGGATTCCAGAACACTCCTTCTGTGGTCTGAATATTTGTCCCTCACATAGGATTTCAGAACACTCCTGCTGTGTTCTGAATGTTTGTCCATCACATAGGACTCCAGAACACTCCTGCTGTGCTGTGAAATTTTGTCCCTCACATAGCATTCAAGAACACTGCTATGAGGGTCTGAATGTTTGCACCTCACATGGGATTCCAGGACACTCCTGCTGTGGTCTGAATGTTTGTACCTCGCATAGGATTCCAGAACACTCTTGCTGTGGTCTGAATGTTTGTTCATCACATAGGATTTCAGAACACTCCTACGAGGGTCTGCATGTTTGTCCCTCAAATTGAATTCCAGAACACTCATGCAGTGGTCTGAATATTTCTCCCTCACACAGGATTCCAGAACACTCCTGCTATGGTCTGAGTGTTTGTTCCTCACATAAGATTCCAGAAAACAGCTACAAGGGTCTCAATGTTTGTCCTTCAGACAGGATTACAAAACACTGCTGTCCTGGTCGGAATATTTGTTCCTCACATAGGATTCCAGAACAATCTTGCTATGGTCTGAATGTTTGTCCCTCACATAGGATTACAGTACATTGCTACGAGGGTCTGAATGCTTGTCCTTCACATAGGATTCCAGAACACTGTTGCTGGGTTCTGAGTGTTTGTGTCTCACGTAGGATTCCAGAAGAAGCTACAAGGGTCTGAATGTTTGTCCATCACATACGACTCCGAAACACTGCTGCTGGCGTCTGAATGTTTGTCCCTCACATAGGATTCCAGAACACTGCAAAGAGGGTCTAAATGTTTGTCCCTCACATAGGATTCCAGAACACTTCTGTTCAGGGTCTGAATGTTTGTCTCTCACATGGGATTCCAGAACACTGCTGCTGTGGTCTAAATGTCTGTCCCTCACATAGGATTCCACAACACTACAAGGCTCTGAATGTTTGTCCCCCACATAGGATTCCAGAACACTGCTGCCATTGTCTAAATATTTGTCCCTCACGTAGGATTCCAGAAGCCTGCTGCGAGTGTCTGAATGTTTGTCCCTCACATAGCATTCCAGAACACTCCTGCTGTGGTTTGAATGTTTGCCCTCACATAGGATTCGAGAACACTCCTGCTGTGGTGGGAATGTTTGTCTCTCAAGTAGGATTTCAGAAAACTGTTATGAGGGTCTGAATGTTTGTCTCTCACATAGGATTCCAGAACACTGCCACAAGGGTCTGAATGTTTGTCCCTCACGTAGGATTCCAGAACACTCCTGCTGTGGTCTGAATGTTTGTCCCTCACACAGGATTCCAGAACACTGCTATGAGGGTCTGAATGTTTGTCCCTCACATAGGATTCCAGAATACTTATGCTGGCATCTGAATTTTTGTCCCTCACATAGGATTCCAGAACACTCCTGCTGTGGTCTGAATGTTTATCCCTCATGTAGGATTCCAGAACACTGCTATGAAATTCTGAATGTTTGTCCCTCACATAGGACTCCAGAACACTGCTAAGAGGGTCTGAATGTTTGTCCCTCACTTAGGGTTCCAGAAAATTACTACGAGGGTCTGAATGTTTGTCCCTCACATTGGATTCCAGAACACTCTTGCTGTTGTCTGAAAGTTTGTCCCTCACTTAGGATTCCAGAACATTGCTACGAGGGTCTGAATGTTTGTCCTTCACATAGGATTCCAGAACTCTGCTGCTGTGATCTGAATGTTTGTCCCTAACAAAGGATTCCAGAACACTCTTGCTGTGGTCTGATTGTTTGTTCCTCACATAGGATTCCAGAACACCACTACGAGGCTCTGAGTGTTTGTGCCTCACATAGGATTCCAGAACACTGCTGCCATTGTCTGAATGTTTGTCCCCCATCTGGGATTCCAGAACACTGCTGCAAGGGTCTGAATGTATGTCCCTCACATAGGATTCTAGAACATTGATGCTAGGGTCTGTATGTTTGTCCTTAACATATGATTTCAAAACACTGCTCCTGGGTTCTGAATGTTTGTCCTTCACATAGGAATACAGAGCACTGCTGCTGGAGTCTGAATGTTTGTCACTCACATAGTATTCCAGAACACTGCTGCGAGGATCTGAATGTTTGTCCCTCACATGGGATTCCAGAACACTGCTGCGAGGGTCTAAATGTCTGTCCCTCACATAGGTTTCCAGCACAATGGTACCAGGTTCTGAATGTTTGTCCCTAACATGGGATTCCAGAGCACTCCTGCTGTGCTCTGAATGCTTCTCCCTCACATAGGATTCCAGAACACTGCTACGAGGGTCTAAATGCTTATCCCTCATATAGGATACCAGAACACTCCTGCTGAGGTCTGAATGTTTGTTCCTCACATAGGATTCCAGAACACTCCTGCCGTGGTCTGAATGTTTGTCCCTCACATAGGATTCCAGAACATTCGTGCTGGGGTCTCAATGTTTCCCTTAACTTAGGATTTCAGAGCACTGCTCCTGGGGTCTGAATGTTTGTCCCTCACATAGGATTACAGAACACTGCTACGAGGGTATAAATAATTCTCCCTCACCTAGTATTCCAGAACACTGTTGCAAGGGTCTGAATGTTGGTCCGTCATACAGGATTCCGGAACACTGCTGCTGTGGTCTGAATGTTTGTCCCTCACATAGGATTCCGGAACACTGCTACAAGGGTCTGAATATTTGTCCTTCACATACCATTCCAGAACACTGCTGCCGTGGTCTGAATGTATGTCCCTCACATAGGATTCCAGAACACTGCTACTAGGTTCTGAATGTTTTTCCCACACCTAGGATTCCAGAAGACTTCTGCTGGTGTCTGAATGGTTGTCCCTTCCATATGATTCCAGGACACTGCTACGAGGGTCTTAATATTTTTCCTTCACATAGGATTCCAGAACACTGCTGCTGGGGTCTGAATGTTTGTCCCTCACATAGGATTCCAGAACACTGCTGCTGGGGTCTGAATGTCTGCCCCTCAAATCGGATTCCAGAACACTGCTGCTGGGGTTTGAATGTCTTTCCCTCACATAGAATTCCAGAACACGGCTGGGAGGGTCTGAATGTTTGTCTCTCACATGGGATACCAGAACACAGCTGTGAGGGTCTAAATGTCTCTCCCTCACATAAGATTCCAGGACACTGCTACGAGGTTCTGAATGCTTGTCCCTCACATAGGATTCCAGAACACTGCTACGAAGGTCTGAATGTTTGTCCTTCACATAGCATTTCGGAACTGCCATGGTCTGAATGTTTGTCCCTCACATAGTATTCCAGTACAGTGCTATGAGGGTCTGAATGTTTGTCCCTCAGATAGGATTCCAGAACACTGCTACGAGGGTCTGAAAGTTTGTCCCTCACATAGGATTCCAGAACACTGCTGTTGGGGTTTGAATGTCTGTCCCTCACATAGAATTCCAGAACACTGCTGCGAGTGTCTGAATGTTTGTCCCGCAGATGGGATTCCAGAACACTGCTGTGAGGGTCTAAATGTCTGTCCCTGACATAACATTCCAGCACACTGCTACGAGGTTTTGAAATGTTTGTCCCTCACATAGGATTGCAGAGCACTCCTGCTGTGGTCTGAATGTTTGTCCCACACATAGGATTCCAGAACACTCCTGCTGTACTCTGAATGTTTGTCCCTCACATAGGATTCCAGAACATTCCTGATGTGGTCTGATTGTTCCTCACATAGGATTCCAGAACACTGCTACGAGGTTCTGAATTTTTTTCCCTCACATAGGATTCCAGAACACTGCTACGAGGTTCTGAATTTTTTTCCCTCACATAGGATTCCAGAACACTGCTACGAGGGTTTGAATGTTCTTCCCTCACATAGGATTCCACAACACTACTGCTGGGGTCTGAATGTTTTTCCCTCACATAGGATTCTAGAACACTCCAGCTGGCTTCTGAGTGTTTGTCCCTCACATAGGATTTCTGAAGACTGCTGCTGTCACTATAGTCGTTGCAAGTGTCTGAATGTTTGACCTTCACCAAACACCAAATATCCTGGCCCTTTAGTCTTGGACTTTCCAGCCTCCAGATCTGTGAGCAATAATCTCTGTTGTTTATGAATTACACAGTCTAAAGTATTTTGTTATAGTAGCCTAAAGAGACTAAGAGAGCATCAGCTGCCCTGTCACCTCATCACCACATTACTGAAGCTATACTAACAGCAGTCACTTTTCGTGGGTACTTCATGCATGAGAATAAAGGGAACAAATTGCAAGGCATACTAAAGTCCAAAAAAAGAAAAAAATACAATTTGTGTCAACAGAGCAAGCTTCAGAAGCAGACAAAAATATGATTTTGGATTTTTTTTAAACCTCTGGAGAATATGTTAAGGGCTCTAATGAATGAAGTAGACAGCATTCAAGTGTAGATGGGTAATGTAATCAGAAAGACAGACATCGTAAGAACCTTCAACATAATGTAGTGATAAAAAATGTGGTAAATAACTGAAGAATACCTCTGATGGCTTATTAGTAGACTGGACTCAGCTGAGTAAAGAGTCTCTGAGCTTGAGGATTTATCATCAGAAACTTCAAAAACTAAAGAAAAGAAACACTGAAAAGAACAGAAGATGATATCCAAGACTGTGGGACAACTACAAAAGGTGAAACAGAGTAATGAGAATACCAGGAGGAGAAGAAATAGAAGAAAGTTCTGCAACTACCATGTCTGAGAACTTCCAGTATTAATGTCAGACACCAAACCAAAAATCCAGGAAGCTCCGAGAACACCATGCAGAATAAATGCCAACAACCTACACTTGGACATATAATTTTCAAACTATATGAAATAAAAGATAAAGGAAAACTCTGAAAGAAACCAGAGGTGGGGCAGAAAACACCTTACCTACAGAGACACAAAGATAAGAACGGCATTCAACATTGCAGAAATTGTGAAAGCAAGAAGACAGTGAAATGAAAAATTGAAAATATTGACAGAAAAAACCCCACCAACCTAAGTTTCTGTACACACTGAAACCACCCTTCAAAAGTGAAGGAGAATTAAGGCCTTCCTCAGAAAAATAAAAATTCAAGAAACTTGTTGCCAGGAGACCTGTCTTGCAAGAAATGTTAAATGAAATTCTTTAGAGGGAAACAAAAGATATTTAACTGAAACTTGGATCAACAATTTTTTAAAAAGATCATTAAAGAAAGAATTGCGGTACAATAAAAACCTATATATTTATTCTTAATTGATCTGACCAAGAAGTTCACAGACAATAACAAATACACACAGATAGATTATGTATGCTTATACACAAGTGAAATGAGTAACACTAATACAAGGAATGCAATGGAAGGATGGGAGGGAGGAATTGTGGTAAAATAAAAACATGTATTTATTCATAATTGATCTGACCAATAAGTTTGTAGATAACAATAAATACACACAGATAGATTATGTATGCTTATACACAAGGGAAATAAGGAACAATAATACAAGGAATGGAATGGAAGAATGGGAGGGAGGAATCAGGTGTTTTCTTTGTTAAGCAGGTAGTCACCCGTGAAGTGGGATAGTGTTATCTGAAAGTGGACTTGAATTGGTTGTAAATGTATATTGAGGAATTAGGTGTTTTGTTTGTTAAGCAGGTAGTCCTATTTGTGGGATAGTGGGATAGTGTTATTTGAAAGTGGACTTGAATTTGTTGTAAATGTATATTGCAAATTCTGTGGCAAATAGTTAAAAAAAATTTTAAAAAGAGAAGTACATGCTAAAAAAGACTGAAAATGTAGTCATCTAAAATCATCAATGAAAACTGCAAAAGGCAGAAAAAGAGTGGTAGACAAAAGAATGAAGACTGAGGAGAATGAATAGAAAACAGTAACAAATATAATATATATTAATCCAATGATATCAATAATCACTTTGAATGTTAATAGTATGAATGTACCAATTCAAAGATAGAGATTGTCAGAGCCTATGAAAAGACAGACACATCTTGTTTCACTGCACTTTGCTTTATTGTGTTTTGTGACCATGTTTTTTACATATTGAAAGTTTGTGGCCACCCTGCAATAAGCAGGTCTCACTGGCACCATTGTTCCTAGAGCTTGTGCTCACTTCACGTCTCTGTGTCACATTTCGGCATTCTCACAGTATTTTAAGCTTTTTATTATTGAATCTGTTATGGTGATCTGTAATCAGTGATCTTTAATGGTACTGTTGTCATTGTTTTGGGAACCACAAATCACACCCGGATAAGACCGCAAACAATTGACAAATGCGTTTGTTCTGACTGCCCCACCAACGGGCCATTTCTCTTTCTCTCTCTTTTTCTCAGGCTTCTTTTTATTAATATTAAAATGTGGCCAATTAATAACCCTACAATAGCCTCTATATGTTCAAGTGAAAGAAGAGTTGCATGTCTGTCACTTTAAACCAAAAGGAAGAAATAATTAAGCTTAGTGAGGAAGGCATGCTGTAAGCAAGACAGGCCAGTAGCTAGACCTCATGCAACAAACACTTAGCCAAGTTGTGAATGCAAACGAAGTGTTCTGGAAAGAAATTTAAAGTACTACTCCAGTGAACACATGAATGATAAAAAGCTAAACAGTCTTGCTGCTGTTATGAAGAAAGTTTAATTGGTCTAGATAGAAGATGAAAAAAAATTCCATTAAGCCTAAGCCTCTCTTTTTACTTTTTTTCTTTGTTTTTAAGACAGAGTTTCATTCTTCTTGCCCAAGCTGGAGTGCAATGGCGCCATCTTGGCTTATCGCAACCTCTGCCTCCCAAGTTCAAGCCATTCTCCTGCCTCAGCATCCCGAGTAGCTGGGATTACAGGCATGCGCCACCACGCCTGGCTGATTTTTTATATTTTTAGTAGAGATGGGGTTTCTCCACGTTGGTCAGACTGGTGTCGAACTCCCGACCTCAGGTGATCTGCCCGCCTCGGCCTCCCAAATTGCTAGGATTACAGGTGTGACAGCCACCGCATCCAGTCTCTCTTCAATTCTATGAAGACTCAGAGAGGTGAGGCAGCTGCAGAAGAAAAGTCTGAAGCTAGAAGAGCTTGTTTCTTGAGGTTTAAGGAAAAAAGTCATCTCCATAACATAAAAGCGCAAGATAAAGCAGCGAGTACTGATGGAAAACCTGCAGAAAGCTATCTAGAAGATAACTGATTAAGATGGCTACACTAAACAGATTTGCAATGGAGACAAAACAGCCTTCTACTAGAAGGAGATGCCATCTAGGATGTTCCCAGCTAGAGAGGAGTTGATGCCTGGCTTTAAGGCTTCAAAGGACATGCTGACTCTTTTGTTAAGGGCTAATGCAGTTGGTGATGTTAACTTGAAACCAATGATGATTTACTATTCTGAAAATCCAAGGGCCCTGAAGAATTATGATAAAACACAGCTCTGCCTGTACTCTACAAATGGGAACAAAGCCTGGATGACAGACTATCGGTTTACAAATATGGTTTACTGAATATCTTAAGCCCACTGTTGACACCTACTGCTCAAGAAATAAGATTATTTTCAAAGTATTACCGCTCACTGACAATGCCCCTGGTACTCAAGGGCATTTACAGAGATGTATAAAGAGCTGAATATTGTTTTCATGCCTACTAACCCAACATTCATTCTAGTGCCCTTGGATCACAGAATAATTTCAACTTTCAAGTCTTATCACTTAAAAATATATTTCATAAAGCTATAGCTTCTCTAGAAAGTGATT
Organism: Homo sapiens; assembly: GCF_000001405.40. NCBI lineage: Eukaryota > Metazoa > Chordata > Mammalia > Primates > Hominidae > Homo > Homo sapiens. The sequence continues at coordinate 7,433 of NW_021160012.1, read as the reverse complement.
CCTTTGATAGATCTGAGCAAAATAATTGAAAACCTACCGGAAAGGATTCACCATTCTAGATGCTATTGAGAACATTGATGATTTAAAAAAGAAGATCAAAATAGCAACATTAGGAGAAGTTGGGGCCGGGCTTGGTGGCTCATGCCTGTAATCCCAGCACTTTGGGAGGCCAAGGCACGTGGATCACGAGGTCAGGAATTTGAGACCAGACTGGCCAACAAAGTGAAATCCTCTCTGTACTAAAAACACACAAAAAATTAGCTGGGCCTGGTCGGGGGTGACTGTAATCCCAAATACTTGGGAGGCTGAGGCAGGAGAATTGCTTGAACCCGGGAGGTGGAGGTTGCAGTGAGCTGAGATCGCATCACTGCACTCCAGCCCAGGCAAGATTTCATCTCAAAAAAAGAAAAAAAAAAGAGAGAGAGAAGTTGGGAAGATTATTCCAACCCTCACAGATGACACTGAGGGGTTCACGACTTCTCTGTAGGAAGTAACTGCAGATATGGTGGAAATAACAAGAGCACTAGAAACAGAGACAGAGCCTGAAGATGTGGCGAGACCGCAGCAGCCTCCAGAGAAAACGTGAGTGGATGAGTTGCTTCCACGGATGAGCAAAGAAAGTGGTTTCTTGAGATGAAATCTACTCGTGGTGAAGACAGTGTAAACATTGTTGAGATGACAACAGATTTAGAATAAACTTAGTTGGTACAGCAGAAGGAGGGCTTGACAGGATTGAACCCAGTGATTTACAATAATACATAAACTTAGTTGGTACAGCAGTACGAAGGTCTGACAGGATTGAATCCAATTTTGAAAGTTCTACTGTGGGTAAAAAGCTATCAAACAACATCGTATGCTACAGATAATTCTTTTGTGAAACAGAGAGTCAATTGACACAGCAAACTTCAATGTTGTCTTATTTTAAGAAATTGCCACAGCCACCCCAACGCTCAGCAACCACCACCTTACATTAAGGCAAGTCCCTCCATCAGCAAGAAGACTGAAACTTGGCCAGGTGCAGTGGCTCACACCTGTCATCCCAACAACTTGGGAGGCCAAGTTGTGTGGATTGCTTGAGCCCAGGACGTCAAGGCAACATGTCAAAACCTCATCTCTACAAAAAAAAAATACAAGAATTAGCTGGACATGGTGGCATGCACCTGTAGTCCCAGCTAGTCAGGAGTCTGAGGTGGAGGTTTGATCGAGCATGAGGTTGAGGCTGCAATTACTCCAGCCTGAGCCACAGAGTAAAACCCTGTCACACACACAAAAAAAGATTGCAGTTTTCTGAAGGCTCAGATGACTGTTAGCACTTGTTAACAATAAAGTATTTGTAAATTAAAGTATGCACACTTTGTAGACATATGCTGTTGCACACTTTATACAGCACAGTATAAACATACTTTTACATGCACTGGGAAACCAAAAGAAATTGTATAACTCACTTTATTGCAGTGGTCTGGAACCAAACCCACATATATCTCTGATGCATGGCCGTCCTGTATTGTACACGTAAAAAAAAACTTAAGAGGGTATATTTTAGGTGAAATGGTCATCTCATTTTTTTTTTTTTGACATGGAGTCTCGCTCTGTTGCCCAGGCTGGAGTGCAGTGGCACTACCTTGGCTCACTGCAAGCTCTGCCTCCCGAGTTCACACCATTATCCTGCCTCAGTCTCCGAAGTAGCTGGGACTACAGGCGCCTGACATCACGCGCAGCTAATTTTCTGTATTTTTAGTAGAAACGGGGTTTCACTGTGTTAGCCCGGATGGTCTTGATCTCCTGACCTCGTGATCCACCTGCCTCGGCCTCCCAAAGTGCTGGGATTACAGGCGTGAGCCACCGCTCCCGGTCTCATTTTTTAAAAAGCGTGAGAATGAGAAATATATGGGGAGTGATGGTCAAGTTTACGGCATTATTTGTTGTGATGAGTCCTGGGGAGAATACTTATCACTAAACTCATTAAGATGTATATATTCGGTGTCACATGCCTGTAGTCCCAGCACTTTGGGAGGCCAAGGCAGGTGGATCATCTGAGGTCAGGAGTTCGAGACCAGCCTGGCCAACATGGTGAAACCCTGTCTCTACTAAAAAAATACAAAAATTAGCTGGGTGTGGGGGCGCACACCTGCGATACCAGCTACTCAGGAGGCTGAGGCAGGAGAATTGCTTGAACCTGGGAGGCAGAGGTTGCAGTTAGCTGAGATCGTGTCACTGCACTCCAGCCTGGGCCACAAGAGTAAAACATCCATCACACACACACACACACAAACACATACACACAAGGTATATATTAAATATTTGTAATTTTTGTATGTCAACCACAACTTAGTTTTATTTTATTTTATTTTATTTTGAGACAGAGTCTCGCTCTGTCACCCAGGCTGGAGTCCAGTGGTGCAATCTCGGCTCACTGCAAGCTCCACCCTCCAGGTTCACACCATTCTCCTGCCTCAACCTCCGGAGTAGCTGGAACTACAGGCACCCGCCACCACGCCCGGCTAATTTTTTGTATTTTTAGTAGAGACGGCTTTTCTCCGTGTTAGCCCAGATGGTCTTGATCTCCTGACGTGATCTGCCTGCCTCAGCTTCCCAAAGTACTCCGATTACAGGTGTGAGCCACCGCACCCAGGCAATTTTTAATTTTTTGAGTCAGAGTCTCACTCTGTCACCCAGGCTGGAGTGCAGTGGCACTATCTTGGCTCACTGCAACCTCTGCCTCCCATGTTCAAGCAATTCTCCTGCCTCAGTCTCCCGAGTAGCTGGGACTACAGATGCATGCTATCATGCCTGGCTAATTTTTTGATTTTTAATAGAGATGAGGTTTCACCATGTTGGCCAGGCTGGTCTCAAACTCCTGACCTCATGTGATCTGCCCACCTCAGCCTCCCAAAGTGCTGGGATTACAGGTGTAAGCCACTGCACCTGGCAATTTTTAAATATATATAACTAAAAATTAATAAAAAACAGGTATTTGCAAGTTTCCGTTTTGTTATATGCTTATTATTCTTTATCTTTATGTCAGGTTGTTGTGTCAATACACTTAGGAGATCATAGTTTCTAAATGGAAATACATATAAATATGTCTGAAATTTTTTCTTTTTTCTTTTTTTTTTTGAGATGGACTCTCGTTCTGTCACCCAGGCTGGAGTGCAGTGGTGCAATCTCAGCTCACTGCAACCTCCGCCTCCCAGATTCAAGTGATTATCCTGCCTCAGCCTCCAGAGTAGCTGGGATTACAGGCACCCGCCACGACACCCAGCTAACTTTTATATATATATTTTCTATTTTTAGTAAAGACAGGGTTTCACCATGTTGGCCAGGCTGGTCTCCAACTCCTGACCTCAGATGATCCACCCGCCTCGGCCTCCCCAAGTGCTGGGATTAAAGGTGTGAGCCACTGTGCCTGGCCTGGAATTTTTTTCTAAAATTTACATTTCTGAGTTAAGAATGCTTAAAATATTATAAAAACAGAAGCAAAATTCATTATGTGTTTCATTAATTACCTTTATTAAAAACAATGCAATTATATTACAATAGGACAAAAAATGTTTAAGCAAACGAAAAGAAAACCATGACATACCCAAACTCAGGAGGAGGCAACAAAGGCAGTGCTAAAGGGAAGCTTACAGCTGCAGATGCTTAAATTAAAAAGAAGAAAGACCTCATACCCGTGCTAAAAGGAAGCTTACAGCTGCAGATGCTTAAATTAAAAAGAAGAAAGATCTCAAACCCATGCTAAAGGGAAGCTTACAGCTGCAGATGCTTAAATTAAAAAGAAGAAAGATCTCAAACCCATGCTAAAGGGAAGCTTATAGCTGCAGGTGCTTAAATTAAAAAGAAGAAAGATCTCAAATCAATAACCTAACATTACACCTGAAGGGGGGAAAAAAAAAAAACTAATGACAAACCAAGCAAAAGGAAGAAAATAACAGATTAGAGCAGAGATAAGCAGAATAATACCAGAAAAAAAAGGAAAAAAAAACACACTGAGTTTTTTTTAAAGATCAATAACAATTTTAAAACTCACAGCTATATTAAGAAAAAAAGAGAAATCTCAAATACTAAAATCGTAAATAAAAGAGGTGACAGTACAACAGATGCCACAGAAATGAAAAAGATTAAAAGAGACTAATGTGAGCAACCGTATGCCACAAAACTGGGCAACCTAGAATAAATTTATAAATTCCTAGAAACACAAACCACCATACTGAATCACGGAGAAATAAAAAATCCAAAGAGACCTGTAACTAGTAAGAAGATTCAACCAGTAATCAAAAACCCCCCAAAAAAGAAAATTCCAGGTCCAGATAACTTCACTGGAGAATTTTACCAAACATTTCAAGAAGAATTAATGCCAATCCTCTGCAAAATATTCCAAAAATGTTCAAAAACCAGAAGGGGACATTCCAATCCATTCTATCAGGTCAACATTTATCTGGTTCCAGAGCCAGATGAACACCTTTTGTAATAAAAAGACTCAAAGAATTAGTAATATATGGAAACTCCTCAGTAAATAAAGATTGTACATGAAAAGCTCACAGCTAACATCATACTCAATGGTGAAAAACTAAAATCTTTTCCTCTAGGATCAGGAATAAGATAGCAACATCCCTTACTGCCACTTCTATTCACCAAAGCACTGGAATTTCTACTCAGAATAATTAGGCAAGAGAAAGTAATAAAAAGCATGCAAATTGGAAAGGAAAAAGTACAAAATTTTGTTCACAGACAACAGGATGTAATGGGAAAAATCCTGAAATTCCACAAAATACTGGTAAAATAATGAAATTCAACAAAGTTTCAGGATACAGTAACACACACAAGTCAGTTGCATTTCCATAAACTAACAATGAACAATCTGCAAATGAAATTTTAAAAAGAGAGGCCAGGTGCAGTGGCTCACACTTATAATCCCAGCACTTTGGGAGGCCAAGTCGGGTAGACCACCTGAGGTCAGGAGTTCGTGACCAGCTGGGCCAATCCCATCTCTAATATAAATAGTAAAACTCTGTCTCTATTAAAAATACAAAAATTACCTGGGCATAGTGGCAGACACCTGTAGTCCCAGCTACTTGGGAGGCTGAGGCAGGAGAATTGCTTGAACTTGGAAGGTGGAGGTTGCAGTCAGCTGAGATTGTGCCACTGCGCTCCAGCTTAGGAAACTGAGTGAGACGCCATCTCAAAGAAAAGAAAGAAAGGAAAGAAAGAGAGAGAAAGAAAAGAAAAGAAAGATAAAACAAAAGAAAAGAAATTTTTGAAAAGAATGACATTTGGCTGGGTGCAGTGGTTCATGCCTGCAATCCCAGCAGTTTGGGAGGCCGAGGCGGGCAGATCACCTGAGGTCACAAGTTCAAGACTTGCCTGGTCAACATGGAGATACCCTGTCTCTACTAAAAATACCAAAAAATTAGCTGGGCGTGCTGGCGCACACCTGTGATCCCAGGTAATTGAGAGGCTGAGGTTGGAGAATCGCTTGAATAAAGAAGGCGCAGGTTGCAGTGAGCTGAGATAGTGCCACTGCACTCCAGCCTGGGAGACAGAGCAAGACTCCATCTCAAAAAAAAAAAAAAAAGAATTACATTTAAAACAGCATTATAAAAATTAAAAATAAGCTTAACAAAAAGGGCAAAAGATTTGAACACAGAAAACTACAAAACACTGTTGAAAGAAATTAAACACAAATAAATGAAAAAGAAAAGCTGGGTTTGCAGATTAGATGATTTCATCTTGGAATGATGTCAACACTACTCGAAGTGACCTAGATTCAATACAATCCTTATAAAGATTCCAATGACATTTTTGATAAACAGAAAAACCTATATTAAAATTCATATGGAATCTCCAGGGCCCATGAATAGGCAAATCAATCTTGAAACAGAACAAAATTAAAGGTCTCAATACAATTAACAAACTGCAATAAGCCAAAAAAAAATGTGGTCATGGCATAAAGACATACTTGACACACTTATGGACCAACACAACAGAGACCTCAGAAGCCAACCCTGGCATATATGGTTTGATGATCTTCCAGAAGGATGCCAAGACCACTCAATGGCAAAGGACAGTTTCTTCAACAAATGGTGTTGGGAAAATTGTATATCTACATGCAAAACAATGAAGTTGGACTCTTACCTTACACCACGTTAAAATTAATTCAAAGTGAATTATAAACCTAAATGTAAAACTAGAACTATCAAACTCCTAGGGAAAACAAATTTGGAAAATGCTTTATGACGATGAATTTGTCAATAATTTTTCGGATACGACATTAAAAGCTCAGGCAGTAAAAGCAAAAATATATCAAACCTAAAAACTTCTGTACCTCAAAGGTCACAACCAACAGGGTAAAAGGCAAACTGTAGAATAAAAGAAAATACCAGTTGAGTGTCCCTTATTTGAAATGCTTGGGATGTGTTTCAGATTTTGTAATATTTGCATTATTCTTACTGGTTGAGCATCTCGAATTCAAACACTTGAGTCTGCGATGCTCCAATAAGCATTTCCTTTGAGTGTCATGTTGGCACTCAAAAAGTTTCAGAATTTGGAGCATTTGGGATTTCAAATTTTTGGATCAGAGACATTCAACCTATAGTTGCACATCATGTATCTCATAAGAAGTGAATATTCAGAATACGTAAAGTACTCCTACAGAGAGACTACCAGAAGCAAAGAGGAGCAAACACATTTTCACACTAGGGCACCTCCTATCTCTCCCGGATTCCAATTAGGGCAGAGTAAATGCTAGTTCTCTGCCAACCCAGGATTAGGCCCTGCAGCTGCAGTGAAAATAATCACAGAAGAAAACTAAGAACTAAAAAATGGAGAAAGTGAGACATCAAACTAAAATTACTAGAAACCCCCAGGAAGAAGGAAAAAGAAACCAAGAAAACAGAAAAACAATTAAACCAGTTAATTAAACCTTGGCATGACCAGAAGATCAGAGTTTCCTAAAGGAGTGGAAATCTATTGATTTGAAGAGGATTTATTGATTACTGATTTGAAGAGGAAGAAAAACCATGAGTGGTCTAAAGCAAAAGCCTAGTGTCTGAAGAAGTCAGTAGGGTGAAAACAAGAGCTGGCCAGAATATCCACAGATGGTGACAAGTTGGCAAAGCCTTTACTAGACTACTCGTGAGGCTAACTAGAGGCCAAGGAGCCAACACTGCCCCTGTCCTTACAGAGAGACCCTACACAGGATTCCCAGATATACATGGAAGGACAACATCTTATCAGGTCCTCTCTGTGCAGATGTGGTTATCATTCCAAATAATGAGCTCCAGCCCCAAGACTGTTCCATCCTCAATTGCTTTGAGTGGGCAATGTAGGCTCTCCACACACGAGCTACATGTAGGTTCCTTGGGTACCCAGATGGGAGCCATGAAACACAAACCCTCCATGGTCAGGTCTGTATTTGTTTCCCGCCTTTTCCC